>NC_000018.10:15110849-15410899 GCF_000001405.40 Homo sapiens | reverse complement strand
TGTAAAGATAATTCGTTAACCACCATATGCCTCAAAGTGCTCCGAATGTCCAGTTGCAGATTCTACAAAAATCATGTTTCCAAACTGCTCAATCAAAAGAAAGTTTCAACTCTGTGAGATGAACCCACATATCACAAAGACGTTTCTCAGAATTTTTCTGTCTACTTTTTATATGAAGATATTTCATTTTCCGCCATAGGTCTCAAGGCACTCGAAATCTCCACTTGCAGACTCTACAAAAAGCGTATGTCAAAACTGATCCATGAATAGAAATGTTCAACTCTGGGAGATAAACGTACACATCACAAAGAAGTTTCTCAGGTTGCTTCTGTCTAGATTTTATGTGAAGATATTTCATTTTCTACCAAAGGCCGCAAAGTGCTCCAAATGTCCTCTTGCAGATTCTACAAAAAGGGTGTTTCCAACCTGGTCCACCAAAAGAAAAGTTCAATTCTCTGAGATGAACGCACGCGTCACAAAAAAGTTTCTCAGAATTTTTCTGTCTCGTTTTTATGTGAAGGTATTTCCTTTTCCACCATTGGCCGCAATGTGCTCAAAATGTCCACTTGCAGATTCTACAAAAATAGAGTTTCCAAACTGCCCCATCAAAAGAAAGCTCTCACTCTGTGAGTTGAATGCACGCATCAAAAAGACGTTTCTCGGATTGCTTCTATTAGATTTTATGTGAAGATATTTACTTTTCTACCATAGGCCACAACGTGCTCCAAATGTCAACTTGCAGATTCTACAAAAAGTGTGTTTCCAAACTGCTCTATCAAAATAAAGGTTCAACTCTGCGAGATGAATGCACACATCACAAAGGAGTTTCTCAGAATTCTTCTGTCTAGTTTTTATATGCAGATATTTTCTTTTCCACCATAGGCCTCAAGCGCTCTTGATGTCCACTTGCAGATTCTTCAAAAAGAGAGTTTCAAAACGACTCAATCAAAAGAAAGCTTTACCTCTATGAGATGAATGTACACATCACAAAGCAGTTTCTCAGATTGCTCCTGTCTACATTTTATGTGAAGATATTTTCTTTGGTGCCATCGGCCACAAACCGCTCCAAATGTCCACTTGCAGATTCTACTAAAAGAGTGTTTCCAAACTGCTTAATCAAAACCAAGTTCAACTCTGTGAGATGAACAACACATCACAAAGAAGTTTCTCAGAATTCTTCTGTCTGGTTTTTATGTGAAGATATTTCCTTTTCCTCCATAGGCTTCAAAGCATTCCAAATGTCCACTTGCAGATTCTACAAAATGCGAGTTTCAAAACTGCTCAATCAAAAGAAAGGTTTAACTCTGTGAGATGAATGCACACATCACAAAATAGTTTCTCAGATTGCTTCTGTCCAGATTTCATATGAAGTTATTTCCTTTCCTACCATAATCTGCAAAGCGTTCCAAATGTCCCCTTCTGGATGATACAAAAAGAGTGTTTCGAAACTGCTCAATCAAAAGAAAGGTTTAACTCTGTGAGATGAACACACGCATCTCGAAGAAGTTTGTCAGAATTCTTCTGTCTAGTCTTAACGTCAAGATATTTCCTTTTCCACCATACGCCTCAAAGCGCTCCAAATGTCCGCTTGCAGATTCTACGGAAAGAGAGTTTCAAAACTGCTCAATCAAAAGAAAGCTTTAACTCTCTGAGATGAATGCAAACATCAGAAAGAAGTTTCTCAGATTGCTTCTGTCTAGATTTTATGAGAGGACAATTCCTTCTCTGCCATAGGCCGCAAAGTGCTCCAAATGTCCACATGTACATTCCACAAAAAGAGTGTTTCCAAACTGCTCAAACAAAAGAAAGTTTCCACTCTGTGAGATGAACGCACACATCACAAAGAAGTTTCTCAGAATTGTTCTGTCTAGTTTTTATGTAAAGATATTTCCTTTTCCACCATAGGTCTCAAAGTGCTCCAAATGTCCACTTGCAGATTCTACAAAAGGAGAGTTTTAAAACTTCTCAATCAAAATAAAAGTTTAACTCTGTGAGATGAGTTCACACATCATGAAGAAGTTTCTCAGATTGCTTCTGTCTAGATTTTATGTGAAGATATTTCATTTTCTACGATAGGCCACAAAGCGCACCAAATGTCCACTCACAGATTCTACAAAAAGAGACTTTCCAAGCTGCTCAATCAAAAGAAAGGTTCAACTCCGTGAGATGAACTCACGCATCTCAAAGAAGTTTCTCAGAATTCTTCTGTTTAGTTTTTATGTGAAGATATTTGCTTTTCCACCATAAGTGTCAAAGTGCTCCAAATATCCACTTGGAGATTCTACAAAAAGAGAGGTTCAAAACTTCTCAATCAAAACAAAAGTTTAACTCCGTGAGATGAATGCACACATCACAAAGAAGTTTCTCAGATTGCATCTGTCTAGATTTTATGTGAAGATATTTCATTTTCTACCATAGGCCACAAAGTGCACCAAATGTCCACTAGCAGATTCTACAAAGAGAGTGTTTCCAAACTGCTCAATCAAAAGAAAGGTTCAGCTCTGTGAGATGAATGCACGCACCTCAAAGTAGTTTGTCAGAATTCTTCTGTCTAGTTTTTATGTGAAGATATTTCCTTTTCCACCATAGGCCTCAATGTGCTCCAAATGTCCACTTCCAGATTCTACAAAAAGAGAGTTTCAAAACTGCTGAATCTAAAGAAAGGTTTAACTCTGTGAGATGAATGCACACATCACAAAGAAGTTTCTCAGTTTTCTTCTGTCTAGTTTTTATGTGAAGGTATTTCATTTTCCACCGTAGGCATCAAGTCTCTTTAGATGTCCAATTGCAGATTCTACAAAAAAGACTATTTCAAAGCTGATCCATCAAAAGAAAGATTCAACTCTGGGAGATGAATGCACACATCACAACGTAGTTTTTCAGAATTTCTCTGTCTAGTTTTTATTTGAAGATATTACCTTTTCCACAGTAGGCCTCAAAGCGCTCCAAATGTCCACTTGCAGATTCCACAAAAAGAGAGTTTCTAAACTGCTCTATCAAAAGAAACGTTTAACTCTGTGAGATGAATGCACACATCACAAAGAAGTATCTCAGACTACTTCTGTCTAGATATTATGTAAAGATGTTTCCTTTTCTACCATAGGGCACTAAGCACTCCAAATTGTCCCCTTGCAGATTCTGGAAAAAGAGTGTTTCCGAACTGCTCAGTCAAAAGAAAGTTTCAACTCTGTGAGATGAACGCACACATCATCAAGAAGTTTCTCAGAATTCTTCTGTCTAGTTTTTATGTGAAGATATTTCCTTTTCCACTATAGGCCTCAAAGCACTTCAAATGTCCACTTGCAGATTCTACAAAAAGAGAGTTTCAAAACTGCTCATTCAAAAGAAAGTTTTAACTCTCTGAGATGAATGCAGACATAACAAAGATGTTTCTCAGACTGATTCTGCCTAGATTTTATGTGAAGGTATTTCCTTTTCTACCATAGGCCACAAAGCTCTTCAAATGTCCAATTGCAGCTTCTAAAGAAAGGGTGTTTCCAAACTGCTCAGTCAAAAGAAATGTTCAATTCTGTGAAATGAATGCAGGCATCACAAAGAAGTTTCTCAGATAGCTGCTGTCTAGATTTTATGTGAAGAAAGTTCCTTTTCTACCACAGGCAGTGAAGCCCTCCAAATGTCCACTTGAAGACTCTTCAAAAAGAGAGTTTCAAAACTGCTCAATCAAAAGAAATGTTTAACTCTGAGAGATGAACACACACATCACAAAGAAGTTTCTCAGAATGCTTTTGTCCAGTTATTATGTAAAGATAATTCGTTAACCACCATATGCCTCAAAGTGCTCCGAATGTCCAGTTGCAGATTCTACAAAAATCATGTTTCCAAACTGCTCAATCAAAAGAAAGTTTCAACTCTGTGAGATGAACCCACATATCACAAAGACGTTTCTCAGAATTTTTCTGTCTACTTTTTATATGAAGATATTTCATTTTCCACCATAGGTCTCAAGGCACTCGAAATCTCCACTTGCAGATTCTACAAAAAGCGTATGTCAAAACTGATCCATGAATAGAAATGTTCAACTCTGGGAGATAAACGTACACATCACAAAGAAGTTTCTCAGATTGCTTCTGTCTAGATTTTATGTGAAGATATTTCATTTTCTACCAAAGACCGCGAAGTGCTCCAAATATCCTGTTGCAGATTCTACAAAAAGGGTGTTTCCAACCTGGTCAACCGAAAGAAAAGTTCAATTCTCTGAGATGAACGCACGCGTCACAAAAAAGTTTCTCAGAATTTTTCTGTCTCGTTTTTATGTGAAGATATTTCCTTTTCCACCATAGGCCGCAAAGTGCTCAAAATGTCCACTTGCAGATTCTACAAAAATAGAGTTTCCAAACTGCCCCATCAAAAGAAAGCTCTCACTCTGTGAGTTGAATGCACGCATCAAAAAGACGTTTCTCGGATTGCTTCTATTAGATTTTATGTGAAGATATTTACTTTTCTACCATAGGCCACAACGTGCTCCAAATGTCAACTTGCAGATTCTACAAAAAGAGTGTTTCCAAACTGCTCAAACAAAAGAAAGTTTCCACTCTGTGAGATGAACGCACACATCACAAAGAAGTTTCTCATAATTCTTCTGTCTAGTTTTTATGTAAAGATATTTCCTTTTCCACCATAGGTCTCAAAGTGCTCCAAATGTCCACCTGCAGATTCTACAAAAAGAGAGTTTCAAAACTTCTCAATCAAAATAAAAGTTTAACTCTGTGAGATGAGTTCACACATCATGAAGAAGTTTCTCAGATTGTTTCTGTCTAGATTTTATGTGAAGATATTTCATTTTCTACCATAGGCCACAAAGCGCACCAAATGTCCACTCACAGATTCTACAAAAAGAGTGTTTCCAAGCTGCTCAATCAAAAGAAAGGTTCAACTCTGTGAGATGAACTCGCGCATCTCAAAGAAGTTTCTCAGAATTCTTCTGTTTAGTTTTTATGTGAAGATATTTGCTTTTCCACCATAGGTGTCAAAGTGCTCCAAATATCCACTTGGAGATTCTACAAAAAGAGAGTTTCAAAACTTCTCAATCAAAACAAAAGTTTAACTCTGTGAGATGAATTCACACATCACAAAGTAGTTTCTCAGATTGCTTCCGTCTAGATTTTACGAGAGGATAATTCCTTTTCTGCCATAGGCCGCAAAGTGCTCCAAATGTCCACCTGTATATTCCACAAAAAGAGTGTTTCCAAACTGCTCAAACAAAAGAAAGTTTCCACTCTGTGAGATGAACGCACACATCACAAAGAAGTTTCTCAGAATTCTTCTGTCTAGTTTTTATGTAAAGATATTTCCTTTTCCACCATAGGTCTCAAAGTGCTCCAAATGTCCACTTGCAGATTCTACAAAAAGAGAGTTTCAAAACTTCTCAATCAAAATAAAAGTTTAACTCTGTGAGATGAGTTCACACATCATGAAGAAGTTTCTCAGATTGCTTCTGTCTAGATTTTATGTGAAGATATTTCATTTTCTACCATAGGCCACAAAGCGCACCAAATGTCCACTCACAGATTCTACAAAAAGAGTGTTTCCAAGCTGCTCCATCGAAAGAAATGTTCAACTCCGTGAGATGAACTCGCGCATCTCAAAGAAGTTTCTCAGAATTCTTCTGTTTAGTTTTTATGTGAAGATATTTGCTTTTCCACCATAGGTGCCAAAGTGCTCCAAATATCCACTTGAAGATTCTACAAAAAGAGAGTTTCAAAACTTCTCAATCAAAACAAAAGTTTAACTCTGTGAGATGAATGCACACATCACAAAGAAGTTTCTCAGATTGCTTCTGTCTAGATTTTATGTGAAGATATTTCATTTTCTACCATAGGCCACAAAGTGTACCAAATGTCCACTAGCAGATTCTACAAAAAGAGTGTTTCCAAACTGCTCAATCAAAAGAAAGGTTCAGCTCTGTGAGATGAATGCACGCACCTCAAAGTAGTTTGTCAGAATTCTTCTGTCTAGTTTTTATGTGAAGATATTTCCTTTCCCACCATAGGCCTCAATGCGCTCCAAATGTCCACTTCCAGATTCTACAAAAAGAGAGTTTCAAAACTGCTGAATCTAAAGAAAGGTTTAACTCTGTGAGATGAATGCACACATCACAAAGAAGTTTCTCAGAT
The DNA here is from genome assembly GCF_000001405.40 of Homo sapiens. Taxonomy (NCBI): domain Eukaryota; kingdom Metazoa; phylum Chordata; class Mammalia; order Primates; family Hominidae; genus Homo; species Homo sapiens. The sequence continues at coordinate 15,404,765 of NC_000018.10, read as the reverse complement.
TTCTTCTGTCTAGTTTTTATGTGAAGGTATTTCATTTTCTACCATAGGACACAAAGCGCACCAAATGTCCATTTGCAGATACTACAAAAACAGTGTTTTGAAACTGCTCAATCAAAAGAAATGTTCAATTCTGTGACATGAACGCACACATCTCAAAGAAGTTTGTCAGAATTCTTCTGTCTAGTTTTTATGTGAAGATATTTCCTTTTCCACCATAGTCTTCAAAGCGCTCCAAAGTTCCACTTGCAGATTCTACAAAAAGAGAGTCTCAAAACTGCTCAATCAAAATAAAGGGTTAACTCTGTGAGATGAATGCGCCAATCACAAACAAGTTTCTGAGACTGTTTCTGTCTAGATTTTATGTGAAGATATTTCCTTTTATACAATAGGCTACAAATGACACCAAATATCCACTTGCAGATTCTACAAAAAGAGTGTTTCAAAAATGCTCAATCAGAAGAAAAGTTCAACTCTGTGAGCTGAACGCACACATCACAAAACCTTTCTCAGAATTCTTCTGTCTAGTTTTTATGTGAAGACATTTCCTTTCCACCATAGGCCTCAAAGTGCTCCGAAATTCCACTTGCACATTTTACAAAAAGAGAGTTTCAAAAGTGCTCAATGAAAAGAATGGTTCAACTCTGTGAGATGAATGCGCACATCACAGTGAAGTTTCTCAGATTGCTTCTGTTAGACTTTATGTGAAGATATTTCCTTTTCCACCATAGGCCTCAAAGTGCTCCAAGTGTCCACTTCCAGATTCTAAAAATAGAGTGTTTCCAAACTCCTCAATCGAAAGAACAGTTCAACTCTGTCAGATGAACTCATGCATCACAAAGAAGTTTATCAGAATTCTTCTGTCTAGTTTTTATGTGAAGATAGTTTCTTTTCCACCCTAGGCCTAAAAGTGCTCCAAATGTCCACTTGCAGATTCTACTAAAAGAGAGTTTCAAAACTCCTCAGTCAAAATAAATGTTTAACTCTGTTAGATGAAAGCACACATCACAAAGAAGTTTCTCAGATTGCTTCTGTCTAGATTTTATGTGAAGTTATTTCCTTTTCTACCATAGGCTGCAAAGCGCTGCAAATGTCTACTTACAGATTCTACAAAAAGAGTGCTTCCAAACTGCTCAATCAAAAGAAAGGTTCAACTTTGAGAGATTAATTCACGCATCTCAAAGAAGTTTGTCGGAATTCTTCTGTCTACTTTTAATGTGAAGATATTTCCTTTTCCACCATAAGCCTCAAAGCTCTCCAAATGTCCACTTGCAGAATCTACAAAAAGAGAGTTTCAAAACTGCTCAATCAAATGAAGTTTTAACTCTCTGAGTTGAATGCACACATTACAAAGAAGTTCTCAGATTGCTACTGTCTAGATTTTATATGAAGATATTTTGTTTTCGTCCATAGGCCAAAAAGCACTCCAAACGTCCACTTGCATATTCTACAAAAAGACTCTTTCCAAGCTGCTCAATCAAAAGAAAGTTTCAACTCTGTGAAATGAACACACACATCATAAAGAAGTTTGTCAGAATTCTTCTCTCTAGTTTTTATGTGAAGATAAATTCCTTTTCCACCATAGGCCTCAAAGCACTCCAATTGACAATTTGCAGATTCTACAAAAAGAGGGTTTCAACACTGCTCAATCAAAAGAAAGGCTCAATTCTGTGAGATGAAAGCACACATCACAAAGAAGTTTTTCCGAATTCTTCTGTCTAGTTGTTATGTGACGATATTTCCTTTTCCACCGTAGGCCTGAAAGCACTCCAAATGTCCACTTGCAGATTCTACAAAAAGAGAGTTTCAATACTGCTCTATCAAAAGGAAGGTTTAACTCTGTGAGACGAATGCACACATCTCAAAGAAATTTCTCAGATTGCTTCTGTCTAGATTTAATGTGAAGATATTTCCTTTTCTACCATAGTCCGCAAAGCGCTCCAAATGTCCACTTGCACATTCTACAAAAAGAGTGATTCCAAACTGATCAATGAAAAGGAAGTTTCAACTCTGTGGGATGAATGCACACATCACAAATAAGTTTCTCTGATTGCTTCTGTCTAGGTTTTATGTGAAGATATTTCCTTTTCCACCACATGCCTCAAAGTGCTCCAAATGTCCACATGCAGATTCTACAAAAAGAGTGTTTCCAAACTGCTCAATCAAAAAAAAAGTTCAACTCTGTGGGATGAATGCACGCATCACAAAGAAGTTTCTCAGAATTCTTCTGTCTAGTTTTTATGTGAAGACATTTCCTTTTCCACCACAGGCCTCAAAGCACTCCAAATGTCCACTTGCAAATTCTACAAAAAGAGTGTTTCCAAACTGCTCAATCAAAAAAAAGGTTCAACTCTACGAGATGAATGTACACATCACAAAGTAGTTTCTCAGAAATCTTCTGGCTAGTTTTTATGTGACGATACTTCCTTTTCCACCATTGGCCTGAAACAGCTCCAAATGTCTACTTCCAGATTCTAAAAAAAGAGAGATTCAAAACTGCTCAATCAAAAGAATGGTTTAACTCGGTGAGATGCATGCACACATCACAAAGAAGTTTCTCAGATTGCTTCTGTCTGAATTTTATGTGAAGATATTTCCTTTTCTAGCATAGGCCACAAATTCCTCCAAATATCCACTTGCAGTTTCCACAAAAAGAGGGTTTCCAAACTGCTCAATCAAAAGGAAGGTTCAACTCTGTGAGGTGAATGCACCCATCACAAAGAAGTTTCTCAGAATTCTTCTGTGTAGCTTTTATGTGAAGATATATCCTTTTCCAACATTGGCCTCAAAGCACTCCAAATGTCCACTTGCAGATTCTACAAAAAGGTAGTTTAAAAACTGCTCAATCCAAAGAAAGGTTTAAATCTGTGAGACGAATGCACTCATCACAAAGACGTTTCTCAGATTGCTTCTGTCTACATTTTATGTGAAGAAATTTCCTTTTCTACCACAGGATGCAAAGCACTCCAAATATCCACGTGCAGATTATAAAAAAAGGAGTGATTCCGAACTGGTCAATCAAAAGAAAGTTTCAACTCTGTGATATGAACCCACACATCACAAAGAGGTTTCTCAGAATGCTTCTAACTAGTTTTTATGTGAAGATATTTCCTTTACCACCATAGGCCTCAAAGCGCTCCAAATGTCCACATGCAGATTCTAAAAAAAGAGAGTTTCAAAACTGCTCAATAAAGAGAAAGTTTTAACTCTGTTAGATGAATGCACACATCACAAACAAGTTTCTCAGATTTCTTCTGTCTAGATTTTATGTGAAGATATTTCCTTTTCTATCATAGGTCACCAAGTGCTCCAAATATCCACTTACACATTCTACAAAAGAATGTTTCCAAACTTCTCAATCAAAAGAAAGTTTCAACTCTGTAACATGAACGCACACATCATGAAGAAGTTTCTCAGAATTCTTCTGTCTAGTTTTTATGTGAAGGTATTTCCTTTTCCACCAGAGGCCGCAAAGCGCTCCAAATGTCCACTTGCAGATTCAATGAAAAAAGAGTTCCAAAACTGCTCAATCAAATAAAATGTTTTACTCTGTGACATGAATGCACACCTCACAAAGAAATTTCTCAGAATTCTTCTGTCTAGTTTTTATGTGAAGATATTTCCTTTTCAAAGATAGGCCTTAAAGCTCTCCAAATGTCCAGTTGCAGATTCTACAAAAACAGTGTTTCCAAACTGCTCAATGAAAAGAAAGGTCCAACTTTGTGATATGAGTGCACACATCACAAAGAAGTTTCTCAGAACTCTTCTGTCTAGTTTTTATGTGAAGATATTTCCTTTTAAACCATAGGCCTCAAGGCGCTCAAAATGTCCACTTGAAGATTCTACAAATAGAGTATTTCAAAACTGGTCCTTCAAAAGAAAGATTCAACTCTGGGTGATGAATGGGCACATCACAAAATCTTTCTCAGAATGCTTCTATGTAGTTTTTATGTGAAGATATTTCCTTTTCCACCATAGGCCTCAAAGTGCTCCAAATGTCCACTTGCAGATTCTACGAAAAGAAAGTTTCAAAACTGCTCAATCAAAAGAAATGTTTATCTCTGTGAGATGAATGCACACATCACAAAGTTGTTTCTCAGATTACTTCTGTCTAGATTTTATGTGAACATATTTCCTAGTCTACCATAGGCCGCAAAGTAGGCTGCAAAGTACTCCAAATGTCCACTTGCAGATTCTATAAAAAGAGGGTTTCCAAACTGCTCAATCAAAAGAAAGTTTCAACTCTGTGAGATGAACGTGCCCATCACAAAGTTTTTCAGAATTCTTCTGTCTACTTTTTATGGGAAGATATTTCCTTTTTCACCATAAGCCTCAAAGTGCTCGAAATGTCCACTTGCAGAGTCTACGAAAAGAGAGGTTCGAAACTGCTCAATCAAAAGAATGGCTTAATTCTGTGAGATGAATGCACATATCACAAAGAAGTTTCTCAGATTGCTTCTGTCTAGTTCTTAAATGAAGATATTTCCTATTCCACCATAGGACTCAAAGGGCTCCCAATGTCGACTTGCAGATTCTACAAAAGGAGTGTTTAAACCTGCTCAATCAAAAGAAATGTTCAACCCGGTGAGATGAATGCACACAACACAAAGGATTTTCTATGAATGATTCTGTCTAGTTTTTATGTGGACATATTTCCTTTTAAACCATAGGCCTCAAAGCGCTTCAAATGTACACTTGCAGATTCCACAAAAAGAGTTTTTCAAAACTGCTCAATGAAAAGAAAGGTTCTAATCTGTGTGAAGAATGTACACATAACAAGAAGTTTGTCAGAATATTTCTGTATAGTTTTTATGTTAAGGTATTTGCTTTTCCACCATAGGCCTCGAAGAGCTCCAAATATCCACATGCAGATTCTACAAAAAGAGTGTTTCAACGCTGCTCATTCAAAAGAAAGTTTCAACTCTGTGACATGAATGCACAAGTCACAAAGAAGTTTGTCAGAATGCTTCTGTCTAGCTTTTATGTGAAGATATTTCCTTTTCCACCATGGGCCGCAAAGCACACCAAATGTCCAAATTTAGATTCTACAAATAGAGTCTTTCAAAACTGCTCAATCAAAAGAAAGGTTCAACTCTGTGAGATGAATCCACACATCTCAGTGAAGTTTTTCAGAACGTTTCTGTATAGTTCTTGTGTGAAGATATTTCTTTTTCCACCATTGCCTCAAAGCGCCAAAAATGTCCACTTGCAGATACTACAGAAAGAGTGTTTCAAAGTTGCTCTTGTCCGATTGCTTCTGTCTAGATTTTATGTGAACATATTTCCTTTTCTACCATAGGCCACTAAGTGCTCCAATTGTCCACCTGAAGATTCTTCAAAAAGTTTCCAAACTGCTCAATCAAAAGAAAGGTTCAACTCTGTAACATGAAGGCACACATCTCAAAGAAGTTTCTCAGAATTCTTCTGTCTAGTTTTTATGTGAAGATGTTACATTTTCCACCATTGCCTCAAAGCGCCAAAAATGTCCACTTGCAGATACTACAGAAAGAGTGTTTCAAAGTGGCTCAATCAAAAGAAAGTTTCAACTCTATGAGATGAATGCACACATCACATTGAAGTTCCTCAGAATGCTTCTGTCTAGTTATTATGTGAAGATATTTCGTTTTCCACCATAGGCATCAAAGCGCTCCAAATGTCCACTTACAGATTCTACAAAAGGAGTGTTTCAAAACTGCTCAATCGAAATTAAAGTTCCACTGTGCGAGATGAATGCACACATCACAAAAACTTTATCAGATTGCTTCTGTCTAGTTTTGTGTGAAGATATTTCCTTTTCCACCACAGGCATCAAAGCTCTCCAAGTGTCCACTTGCAGATTCTACAAAAAGAGTGTTTCAAAACTGCTCTATTGAAAGTTAAGTTCAACTCCATGAGATAAATGCCAACTCCTTGAGATAAATGACAAATAAGCTTGTCAGAATGCTTCTGCCTAGTTTTAATGTGAAGATATTTCCTTTTCCACCATAGGCTGCAAAGCGCTCCAAATATCCACTTGCAGATTCTACAAAATGAGAGTTCTCAAAACTGTTCAATTAAAATAAAGTTTCAGCGCTGTGAGAGGAATGAGCACATCACAAAGCAGTTTCACAGAATGCTTCCATCTAGTTCTTAAATGAAGATATTTCCTTTTCCACCATAGGCCAAAAAGCGCTCCAAATGTCCACTTGCAGATATTACAAAAAGAGTTTTTCAAAACTGCTCAATGTCTGTTCATGTCCTTCACCCACTTTTTGATGGGGTTGTTTGTTTTTTCTTGTAAATTTGTTTGAGTTCATTGTAGATTCTGAATATTAGCCCTTTGTCAGATGAGTAGCTTATGAAATTTTTCTCCCATTTTGTAGGTTGCCTGTTCACTCTGATGATAGTTTCTTTTGCAGTGCAGAAGCTCCTTAGTTTAATTAGATCCCATTTGTCAATGTTGGCTTTTGTTGCCATTGCTTTTGGTGTTTTAGACATGAAGTCCTTGCCCATGCCTATGTCCTGAATGGTAATGACTAGGTTTTCTTCTAGGGTTTTTATGGTTTTAGGTCTAATGTTTAAGTCTTTAATCCATCTTGAATAGATTTTTGTGTAAGGTGTAAGGAAGGGATCCAGTTTCAGCTTTCTACATATGGCTAGCCAGTTTTCCCAGCACCATTTATTAAATAGAGAATCCCTTCCCCATTGCTTGTTTTTCTCAGATTTGTCAAAGATCAGATAGTTGTAGATATGTGGCGTTATTTCTGAGGGCTCTGTTCTGTTCCATTGATCTATATCTCTGTTTTGGTACCAGTACCATGCTGTTTTGGTTACTGTAGCCTTCTAGTATGGTTTGAAGTCAGGTAGTGTGATGCCTCCAGCTTTGTTCTTTTGGCTTAGGATTGACTTGGCGATGCGGGCTCTTTTTTGGTTCCATATGAGCTTTAAAGTAGCTTTTTCCAATTCTGTGAAGAAAGTCATTGGTAGCTTGATGGGGATGGCATTGAATGTGTAAATTACCTTGGGCAGTATGGCCATTTTCACGATATTGATTCTTCCTATCCAAGAGCATGGAATGTTCTTCCATTTGTTTATATCCTCTTTTATTTCCTTGAGCAGTGGTTTTTAGTTCTCCTTGAAGAGGTCCTTCACATCCCTTGTAAGTTGGATTCCTAGGTATTTTATTCTCTTTGAAGCAATTGTGAATGGGAGTTCACTCATGATTTGGCTCTCTGTTTGTCTGTTGTTGGTGTATAAGGATGCTTGTGAAGTTTGTACATTGATTTTTAAGGACATGAACAGACATTTCTCAAAAGAAGACATTTATGCATCCAAAAAACACATGAAAAAATGCTCACCATCACTGGCCATCAGAGAAATGCAAATCAAAACCACAATGAGATACCATCTCACACCAGTTACAATGGCAATCATTAAAAAGTCAGGAAACAAAAGGTGCTGGAAAGGATGTGGAGAAATAGGAACACTTTTACACTGTTGGTGGGACTGTAAACTAGTTCAACCATTGTGGAAGTCAGTGTGGCAATTCCTCAGGGATCTAGAACTGGAAATACCATTTGACCCAGCCATACCGTTACTGTATATATACCCAGAGGACTATAAATCATGCTGCTATAAAGACACATGCACACGTATGTTTATTGCGGCATTATTCACAATAGCAAAGACTTGGAACCAACCCAAATGTCCAACAATGATAGACTGGATTAAGAAAATGTGGCCCATATACACCATGGAATACTATGCAGCCATAAAACATGATGAGTTCATGTCCTTTGTAGGGACATGGATGAATTGGAAATCATCATTCTCAGCAAACTGTCGCAAGAATAAAAAACCAAACACTGCATATTCTCACTCATAGGTGGGAATTGAACAATGAGAACACATGGACTCAGGAAGGGGAACATCACACTCTGGGGACTGTTGTGGGGTGGGGGGAGGGGGGAGGGATAGCATTGGGAGATACACCTAATGCTAGATGACGAGTTAGTGGGTGCAGTCCACCAGCATGGCACATGTATACATATGTAACTAACCTGCACATTGTGCGCATGTACCCTAAAACTTAAAGTATAATAATAATAAATAAATAAATAAATAAAAACTGCTCAATGAAATAAAGGCCCAACTCTGTGGCATGAATGCACACATCAGAAAGAAGTTTCTCAGAATATTTCTGAATCGTTTTTATGTGAAGATATTTCCTTTTCCACCATTGGCCTCAAAGCGCTCCAAATCTCCACATGCAGATTCTAAAAAAGAGTGTTTCAAAGCTGCTCAATCAAAAGAAAGGTTCAACACTCTGAGATGAATGCACACGTCACAAAGAAGTTTCTCAGAATGCTTCTGTCTAGTTTTTATGTGAAGATATTTCCTTTTCCACCATTGGCCTCAAAGCACTCCAAATGTCCTTTTGCATATTCTACAAAAAGAGTGTTTCAAAGCTGCTGAATCAAAAGAAATGTTCAACTCTATGAGATGAATGCACTCATCACAAAGAAGTTTCTCAGAATGCTTCTGTCTAGTTTTTATTTGAAGATATTTCCTTTTACACCATAGGCCTCAAAAGGCTCCAAATGTAAACATCCAGATCGTACAAAAAAGTTTTTCCAAACTGCTCCATCAAAATAACGGTTTAACTCTGTGAGATGAATGCACACATCACAAATAATTTTCTCTGAATGATTCTGTCTAGTTTTTACGTGAATATATTTCCTTTTCCACCATAGGACTCTAAGCGCTCCAAATGTCCAATTCTAGATGCTACAAAAAGAGTGTTTCAAAGCTGCTGAATCAAAAGAAAGGTTCAAATCTGTGAGAAGAATGCATGCACACATCACAAAGAGTTTCTCAAAACGCTTCTCTCTAGTTTTTATATGAAGATATTTCCTTTTCCTCCATAGGACTCTAAGCACTCCAAATGTCCAATTCTAGACTCTAGAAAAAGAGGGTTTCAAAACTGCTCAATCGAAAGTAAGTTTCAACCCTGTGAGATGAATGCACACATCACAAAGAGGTTTTTCAGAATGTTTCTGTCTAGTTTTTATGTGAAGATATTTCCTTTTCCACCATAGGCTTCAAAGGGCTCCAAATGTCCGCTTGCAGATTCTATGAAAAGAGTGTTTCAAAACTGCTCAATCAAAAGAAAGGTTCAACTCTGTGAGATGAATGCACACATCACAAAGAAGTTTCTGAGAATGCTTCCGTCTAGTTCTTAAGTGAAGATATTTCCTTTTCCACCATTGGTCCCAAAGCACTCCAAATGTCCACTTCCGGATTCCACAAAAAGAGAGTTTCCAAACTACTCAATCAAAAGAAAGGTTCACCTCAGTGAGATGAATGCACACATCACAAAGAAATTTGCCAGAATGCTTCTGTCTAGTCTTTATATGAAGATATTTCCTTTTCCACCATAGGCCCCAAAGGGCTGCAAATGTCCACTTGCAGATCCTGCAGAAAGAGTGTTTCAAAACTGCTCAATCAAAAGAAAGGTTCAACTCTGTGAGATGAATGCACATTTCACAAAGAAGTTTCTCAGAATTCTTCTGTCAGGTTCTTAAGTGTAGCTATTTCCTTTTCCACCACAGGACTCAAAGCTCTCCAAATGTCCTCTTGCAGATTCTACAAAAAGAGTTTCCAAACCACTCTATCGAAAGAAAATTTCAACGCTGTGAGATAAATGCACATATCACAAAGAAGTTTCTCAGAATGCTTGTGTCTAGTTATTATGTGAAGATATTACCTTTTCAACAATAGGCCTCAAAACGCTCCAAATTTCCACATGTAGATTCTACAAAAAGAGTGTTTCAAAGCTGCTCAATCAAAAGAAAGCTTCAACTCTGTGAGATGAATGCTCACATCACAAAGAAATTTCTCAGAATGCTTCTGTCCAGTTTTTATGTGAAGATATTTCCTTTTCCAGCATAGGCGTCAAAATGCTCCAAATGTCCACTTACAGATCCCACAAAAATAGTGTTTCAAAACTGCTCAATCAAAAGAAAGGTTCACCTCTGTGAGATGAATGCACGCATCACAAAGAATATTCTCAGAATAATTCTGTCTAGTGTTTATGTGCAGATATTTCCTTTTCCACCATAGTCCTCAAAGCGCTCCAAATATCCAATTGCAAATCCTACAAAAAGAGTGTTTCAAAACAGCTCAATCGAAGGTAGGGTTCAACTCTGTGAGATGAATTCTCACATCACAAAAAAGTCTGTCAGAATGCTTCTGTCTAGTTTTCATATGAAGATGTTTCCTTTTCCACCATAGGCCTCAAAGCGCTCCAAATGTCCACATGCGGGTTCTATAAAAAGAGTGTTTCCAAATTGCTCAAGCAAAAGAAATGTTCAACTCTGTGATATGAAAGCACACATCACAAAGAAGTTTGTCAGAATGCTTCTGTCTAGTTTTCATGTATAGATGTTTCCTTTTCCACCATAGGCCGCAAAGCGCTCCAAATGTCTACTTGCAGATTCTACAAAAAGATTGTTTCAAAACTGCTCAACGAAAAGAAAGTTTCAACTCTGTGAGATGAACGCACACATCACAAAGAAGTTTCTCAGAATGCTTCTGTCTAGTTCTTAAATGAAGATATTTCCTATTCCACCACAGGACTCAAAGGGCTCCTAATGTCCACTCGCAGATTCTACAAAAAGAGTGTTTAAACCTGCTCAATCAAAAGAAGTGTTCAACCCGGTGAGATGAATGCACACAACACAAAGGATTTTCTATGAATGATTCTGTCTAGTTTTTATGTGAACATATTTCCTTTTAAGCCATAGGCTTCAAAGCGCTTCAAATGTACACTTGCAGATTCCAGAAAAAGAGTTTTTCAAAACTGCTCAATGAAAAGAAAGGTTCAAATCTGTGAGAAGAATGCACACATAACGAAGTTTATCAGAATGTTTCTGTTATAGTTTTTATGTGAAGGTATTTCGTTTTCCACCACAGGCCTCAAAGAGCTCCAAATGTCCACATGCAGATTCTACAAAAAGAGTGTTTCAAAGCTGCTCAATCAAAAGAAAGGTTCAACTCTGTGACATGAATGCACAAATCACAAAGAAGTTTGTCAGAATGCTTCTGTCTAGTTTTTATGTGAAGATATTTCCTTTTCTACCATAGGCCGCAAAGCGCACCAAATGTCCAAATTCAGATTCTACAAAAAGAGTCTTTCAAAACTGCTCAATCAAAAGAAAGGTTCAACTCTGTGAGATGAATCCACACATCCCGGTGAAGTTTTTCAGAATATTTCTGTATAGTATTTATGTGAAGATATTTTCTCTTCCACCATTGCCTCAAAGCGCCAAAAATGTCCACTTGCAGATACTACAAAAAGAGTGTTTCAAAGTTGCTCAATCAAAAGAAAGTTGAAACTCTGTGAGATGAATGCATATATTACATATAAGTTTCTCAGAATGCTTCTGTCTAGTTTTGTGTGAAGATATTTCCTTTTCCACCACAGGCCTCAAAGCTCTCCAAATGTCCACTTGCAGATTCTACAAAAAGAGTGTTTCAAAACTGCTCAATCGAAAGTAAGGTTCAACTCTTTGAGATGAATGCACCCATCACAAATAAGCTTGTCAGAATGCTTTTGTCTAGTTTATATGTGAAGATATTTCCTTTTCCACCATCGGCTGCAAAGCACTCCAAATGTCCACTTGCAATTTCTAGAAAAAGAGTTTTTCAAAACTGCTCAATTAAAATAAAGTTTCAGCTCTGTGAGAGGAATGCACACATCACAAAGCAGTTTCACAGAATGCTTCCGTCTACTTCTTAAATGAAGATATTTCCTTTTCCACCATAGGCCTCAATGCGCTCCAAATGTCCACTTGCAGGTTCTACAAAAAGAGAGTTTCTACACTACTCAATCAAAAGAAAGGTTCAACTCTGTGAGATGAATGCACACATCACAAGGAAGTTACTCAGAATGCTTCTGTCTACTTCTTAAGTGAAGATATTACCTTTTCCACCTTAGGCCCCAAAGCACTCCTAATGTGCTCTTGCAGATTCTACAAAAAGAGAATTTCCAAACTACTCAATCAAAAGAAATGTTCAACTCTGTTAGATGAATGCACACATCACAAAGTAATTGGTCAGAATGCTTCTGTCTAGTTTTTATGTGAACATATTTCCTTTTCAACCATAGGCCTCAAATCGCTTCAAATGTACAATTGCACATTCCACAAAAAGAGTTTTTCAAAACTGCTCAATGAACAGAAAGGTTCAACTCTATGAGATGAATGCACACATCACTAAGAAGTTTGTCAGAATGTTTCTGTATAGTTTTTATATGAAGATATTTCCTTTTCCACTATAGGCCTCAAAGCGCTCCAAATGTCCACATGCAGATTCTACAAAAAGAGTGTTTCAAAGCTGCTCAATCAGAAGAAATGCTCAACACTATGAGATGAATGCACACATCACAAAGAAGTTTCTCAGAATTCTTCGGTCTAGTTTTTATGTGAAGATATTTCCTTTTCCACTATAGGCCGCAAAGTTCTCCAAATGTCCACTTGCAGATTCTACAAAAAGAGTGTTTCCAAACTGCTCAATCAAAAGAAAGGTTCAACTCTGTGAGATGAATGCACACATCACAAAGATGTTTGTCAGAATGTTTCTCTCTAGCTATCATGTAAAGATATTTCCTTTTCCACAATATGTCTCAAAGCCCTCTAAATGTCCACTTGCAGATTCTACAACAAGAATGTTTCCAATTTCAGTTTTCTACATATGGCTAGCCAGTTTTCCCAGCACCATTTATTAAATAGGGAATCCTTTTCCCATTGCTTGTTTTTGTCAGGTTTGTCAAAGATCTGATAGTTGTAGATATGCGGCATTATTCCTGAGGTCTCTGTTCTGTTCCATTGATCTATGTCTCTGTTTTGGTACCAGAACAATGCTGTTTTGGTTACTGTAGCCTTGTAGTATAGTTTGAAGTCAGGTAGCGTGATCCCTCCAGCTTTGTTGTTTTGGCTTGGGATTGACTTGGCGATGCGGGCTCTTTTTTGGTTCCATATGAACTTTAAAGTCGTTTTTTTCCAATTCTCTGAGGAAAGTCATTGGTAGCTTGATGGGGATGGCATTGAATCTATAAATTACCTTGGGCAGTATGGCCATTTTCATGACATTGATTCTTCCAACCCATGAGCATGGAATGTTCTTCCACTTGTTTGTATCCTCTTTTATTTCATTAAGCAGTGGTTTCTAGTTCTCCTTGAAGAGATCCTTCACGTCCCTTGTAAGTTAGATTCCTATTTATTTTATTCTCTTTGAAGCAATTGTGAATGGGAGTTCACTCATGATTTGACTCTCTGTGTGTCTGCTATTGGTGTACAAGAATGCTTGTGATTTTTGCACATTGATTTTGTATCCTGAGACTTTGCTGAAGTTGCTTATCAGCTTAAGCAGATTTTCGGCTGAGACAATGGGGTTTTCTAGTTATACAATCATGTCATCTGCAAACAGGGACAATTTGACTTCCTCTTTTCCTAATTGAGTGCCCTTTATTCACTTCTCCTACCTGATTGCCCTGGCCAGAACTTCCAACACTATGTTGAATAGGAGTGGTGAGAGTGGACATCCCTGTCTTTTGCCAGTTTTCAATGGGAATACGAAAGGACAAAAAACCAAACAACACATGTTCTCACTCATAGGTGGGAACTGAACAATGAGAACACACGGACAAGGGAAGGGAAACATCACACTCCGGGGACGGTTGTGGGGTGGGGGGAGGGGGAAGGGACAGAATTAGGACATATACCTAATGCTAAATGGCAAGTTAATGGGTGCAGCACACCAAAATGGCACATGGATACATATGTGACGAACCTGCACATTGTGCACATGTACCCTAAAACTTAAAGTATAATAATAACAATAATAAAAAAAAAAGGAGAAAGCCAAAAAAAAAAAAAACAGAAAAAAAAAAACGGTGTTTCAAAACTGGTAAATCGAAAGTAAGGTTCAACTCTCTGAGAAGAATGCACACATCACAAAGAATTTTGTCAGAATGCTTCTGTCTAGTTTTTATGTGAAGATACTTCCTTTTCCACCAGAGGCTGCAAAGTGCTCCAAATGTACACTTGCAGATTCGACAAAAAGATTGTTTCAAATCTGCTCAATCAAAAGAAAGTTTCAAATCTGTGAGGTGAATGCACACATCACGAAGAAGTTTCTCAGAATGCTTCTGTCTAGTTATTAAGTGAAGATATTACCTTTTCCATCATAGGCCTCAAAGCACTCCAAATGTCCACTTGTAGAATCTACAAAAAGTGATTTTGCAAACTAACCAATCAAAAGAAAGGTTCAACTCTGTGAAATGAATGCACACATCACAAAGAAATTTGTCAGAATGCTTCGGTCTAGTTTTTATGTGAAGATATTTCCTTTTCCACCATAGGCCTCAAAGCACTCCAAATGTCCACTTGCAGAAAGTACAAAAAGGGTGTTTCAAAACAGCTCAATCAAAAGTAAAGTTCAACTCTGTGAGATGAATGCACATATCACAAAGAAGTTTGTTAGAATGCTTCTGTCTAGTTTTTATGTGACGGTATTTCCTTTTTTACCATAGGCCACAAAGCGCTCCAAATATCCACTTGCAGATTCTACAAAAAGAGTGTTTCCAAACTAGAAAATCAAAAGAAAGTTTCAACTCTGTGTGATGAATGCACTCGTCACAAAGAAGTTTCTCAGAATACTTCTGCGTAGTTAATACATGAAGATATTTCGTTTTCCATCACACTCCTCAAAGCGCTCCAAATGTCCACTTGCAGATTCTACAAAAAAAGTGTTTCAAAGCTGCTCGATCAAAAGAAAGGTTCATCTCTGTGAGATGAATGCACACATCACAAAGTAGTTTGTCAGAATGCTTCTCTCTAGTTTTTATTTGAAGATATCTCCATTTCCACCATAGGCCTCAAAGCACTCCAAATGTCCACTTGCAGATAGTACAAAAAGGGAGTTTCAAAACGGCTCAATTAAAAGTAAGGTTCAACACTGTGAGGTGAATGCACATATCACAAAGAAGTTTATCAGAATGCTTCTGTCTAGTTTTTATGTGAAGATATTTCCTTCTCTGCCATTGGCCTCAATGCGCTCCAAATGTCCACTTGCAGATTCTACAAAAAGAGTGTTTCCAAACTAGAAAATCAAAAGAAAGTTTCAACTCTGTGAGATGAATGCACTCATCACAAAGAAGTTTCTCACAATACTTCTGCATAGTTATTATATGAAGATATTTCATTTTCCATCACACTCCTCAAAGCGCTCCAAATGTCCACTTGCAGATTCTACAAAAAAAGTGTTTCAAAGCTGCTCAATCAAAAGAAAAGTTCATCTTTGCGAGATGAATGCACGCATCACAAAGAAGTTTGTCAGAATGCTTCAGTCTAGTTTTTATGTGAAGATATTTCTTTTCCACCGTACACCGCAAAGCTCTCCAAATGTCCACTTGCATATTCTACAAGAAGAGTGTTTCAAAGCTGCTCAATCAAAAGAAAGGTTCAACTCTGTGAAAAGAATGCACACATCACAAAGAAGTTTCTCAGAATGTTTTTGACTACTTCTTATGTGAAGATATTTCCTTTTTCACCATAGGCCTCAAAGTGATCCAAATGTCCACTTGCAGATCCTTCAAAAAGATTTTCCAAACTAGTCAATCAAAAGAAAGTTTCAACTCTGTGAGATGAATGCACATATAACAAAGACATTTCTAAGAATCCTTCTGTCTAGTTTTTATGTGAAGATATATACTTTTACACCATAGGCATCAACGCACTCCAAATGTCAACTTGTAGATAGTACAAAAAGGATGTTTCAAATCTGCTCAATCAACAGTAAGGTTCAACTCTGTCAGATGAATGCACACATCACGAAGCATTTTCTCAGAATGATTCTTTGCAGTTCTTAAGTGAAGATATTTCCTTTTCCACCAGAGGCCTCAGAGCCCTCCAAATGTCCACTTGCAGATAGTGCAAAAAGAGTGTTTCCAAACTGTTCAATCAAAAGAAAGCTTCAAATCTTTGAGATGAATATACACATCACGAAGAAGTTTCTCAGAATGTTTCTGTCCATGTTTTATCAGAAGATATTTCCTTTTCCACCATAGGCCTCAAAGCGCACCAAGTGTCCACTTGTAGATTCTACAAAAAGAGTGTTTCAAAACTGCTCATTGAAAAGAAATGTTCAACTCTGTGAGTTGAATGCAGACATCACAAAGAAGTTTCTCACAATGTTCTGTCTAGTTCTTAAGTGAAGATATTTCCTTTTCCACCATAGGGCTCAAAGTGCTCCAAATGTCCACTTGCAGATTGTACAAAAACAGTGTTTCAAAACTGCTCAATGGAAAGAAAGGTTCAATTCTGTGAGATGAATGCAAACAACACAAAGAAGTTTGTCAGCATGCTTCTGTCTAGTTTTTATGTGAAGATATTTCCTTTACCACCATATGCCACAAAGTGCTCCAAATGTCCCTTTGCAGATTCTACAAAAATAGTGTTTCAAACTGCTCAATCAAAAGAAAGTTCAACTCTGTGAGATGCATGCACACATCCCAAAGAAATTTCCCAGAATACTTCTGTGTAGTTTTTCTGTGAAGATATTTCCTTTTCCACCATAGGCCTCAAAGAATTCCAAATGTCCACTTGCAGATTCTACCAAAAGAGTGTTTCAAAATAGATTAATGAAAAGAAATGTTCAACTCTGTGACATGAAAGCACGCATTCCAAAGAAGTTTGTGACAATGCTTCTGTCAAGTTTTTATGTGAAGATATTTCCTTTTCTGCCATAGGCCTCAAAACGCTCCTAATGTCCACTTGCAGATTCTACAAAAGAGTGTTTCAAAGCTGCTCAATCAAAAGAAAGTTTCAACTCTGTGAGATGAATGCACACATCACAAAGAAGTTTCTGAGAATGCTGCTGTCTTGTTATGTGAAGATATTTCCTTTTCCACAATTGGCTGCAAAGCGCTCCAAATGTCCACTTACAGATTCTACAAAAAGAGTGTTTCAAAACTACTCAATCAAAAGAAAGGTTCAACTCTGTGAGATGAATGCACACATCACAAAGAAGTTTCTCAGAATGTTCTGTCTAGTTCTTAAGTGAAGATATTTCCTTTTCCACCATAGGCCTCAAAGTGCTCCAAATGTCCACTTGCAGATGGTACAAAAACAGTGTTTCAAAACTGCTCAATGGAAAGAAACGTTCAATCCTGTGAGATGAATGCAAACAACACAAAGAAGTTTGTCAGCTTGTTTCTGTATAGTTTTTATGTGAAGATATTTCCTTTCCTACCATAGGCCTCAAGGCGCTCCAAAGGTCCACATGCAGATCCTACAAAAATAATGTTTCAAAGGTGCTCAACTTTTGAAATGTTCAACTCTGTGAGATGACTGCACACATCCAAAGAAGTTTCTCAGAATGCTTCTGTCTAGATCTTAAGTGAAGATATTTCCTTTTCCACCATAGGCCTCAAAGCGAACAAAATGTCCGCTTGCAGATTCTACAAAAAGAGTGTTTCCAAACTGCTCAGCCAAAAGTAAGATTCAACTCTGTGGGTTGAATGAAAACATCACAAAGAAGTTTCTCAGGATGCTTCTGTCTAGTTCTTATGTGAAGATATTTCCTTTTGCACCGTAGGCCTAAAAGTGCTCCAAATATCAACTTGTAGATTCTACAAAAAGTGGGCTTCAAAACTTCTCAATCAAAAGTAAGGTTCAATACCCTGAGATGAATGCACACATCACAAAGAAGTTTGTCAGAATTCTTTTGTCTAGTATTTAAGTGAAGATACTTCCTTTTCCACCATATGCCGCAAAGTGCTCCAAATATCCACTTGCAGATTCTACAAAAAGAGTGTTTCAAAACTGCTCAATCAAAAGAAAGTTCAACTCTGTGAGATGAATGCCCACATCGCAAAGAAATTTCTCAGAATATTTCTGTCTAGCTTCTCTATGAAGATATTTCCTTTTCCACCATAGGCCTCAAAGTGTTCCAAATGTCCACTTGCAGATGTTACAGAAAGAGTGTTTGAAAACTACACAATCGAAGGAAAGGTTCAACTCTCTGAGATGAATGCACACATCACAAAGAATTTGTCAGAATGCTTCTGTCTAATATTTATGTGAAGATATTTCCTTTTCCACCATAGGCCTCAAAGCGCTCAAAATGTCCACTTGCAGATGCTACAAAAGGAGAGCTTCCAAACTACTCACTCAAAAGAAATGATCAACTCTGTGAGACGAATGCATACATCACAAAGTAATTTGTCAGAATGCTTCTGTCTAATTTTTATGTGAACATATTTCCGTTTCCACTGTAGGCCTCAAACCACACAAAATGTCCATTTGCAGATAGTACCAAAAGGGTTTTTCAGAACTGCTGAATCAAAAGTAAGGTTCAACTCTGTGAGATGAATGCACATATCGCAAATAGGTTTGTCAGAATGCTTCTACCAAGTTTTTTTGTGAAGATATATCCTTTTCCACCTCAGGCCTCAAAGAGCTCCACATGTCCCCTTACAGATTCTACAAAAAGAGTGTTTCCAAACTGCTCAATCAAAAGAAGTGTTCAACTCTGTGAGATGAATGCACACAACACAAAGATGTTTCTCAGAATGCTTCTGTCTAGTGCTTATGTGAAGATGTTTCCTTTTCCACCATAGGCCTCAAAGCGCTCCAAATGTCCACTTGCAGATTCTACAAAAAGAGTGTTTCAAAACTGCTCAATGAAAACAAAGGTTCAACTCTCTGTGATGAATACATACATCACAAAGAATTTTCTCAGGATGATTATATCTAGTTTTTATGGGAAGATATTTCCTTTTCCACCATAGGCCACAAAGCTCTCCAAATGTCCACTTGCAGATTCTAAAAAAGAGTGATTCAAACCTGCTCAATACAAAGAAATGTTCAACTCTGTGAGATGAATCCATACATCACAAAGAAGTTGCTCAGAAAGCTTCTGTCTAGTTTATATGTGAAGATATTTCCTTTTCACCACAGGCCTCAAAGCACTCCAAATGTCCACTTGCAGATCAACAAAAAGAGAGTTTCCAAACTACTCAATCAAAATAAAGGTTCAGCTCTGTGAGATGAATGCACACATTACAAAGAAAGTTGTCAGAATGTTTCTGTCTAGTTTTTATGTGAAGATATTTCCTTTTCCACCATAGGCCTCAAAGCACTCCAAATGTCCACTTGCAGATAGTACAAAAAGGGTGTTTCAAAAATGCTGAATCAAAAGTAAGGTTCAACTCCATGATATGAATGCACATATCACAAAGTAGTTTGACCGAATGCTTCTGTCTTTTTTTGTGTGTGAAGATATTTCCTTTTCGATCATAGACCTCAAAGAGCTCCAAATGTTCACTTGCAGAATCTACAAAAAGAGTGTTTCCAAACTTCTGAATCAAAAGAAAGGTTCAACTCTGTGAGACGAATGCACAGATCACGAACAAGTTTCTCAGAATGCTTCTGTCTAGTTTTTATGTAAAGATATTTCCTTTTCCACCATAGGCCTCAAAGCTCTCCAAATATCCATTTGCCGATTCTACAAAAAGAGTGTTTCAAAACTGCTCAATTAAAAGGAAGGTTCAATTCTGTGACATGAATACACCAATCGCAAAGAAATTTGTCAGAATGTTTCTGTATAGTTTTTATGTGAAGATATTTCCTTTTCCACCATAGGTCTCAAAGCGCTCCAAATATCCACTTGCAGGTTCTACAAAAAGAGTGTTTCAAAGCTGCTCAATCAAAAGAAATGTTCAACTCTATGAGATGAATGCACACATCACAAAGTAGTTTCACAGAATGCTTCTGTCTAGTTATTAAGTGAAGATATTTCGTTATTGACCATCACCCTCAAAGTACTCCAAATGTCCACTTACAGATTCTACAAAAAGAGTGTTTCAAAGCTGCTCAATCTAAGGAGAGGTTCAACTCTGTGTGATGAATGCACACATCACAAAGAAGTTTCTCAGAATGCTTTTGTCTAGTTATAATGAGAAGATATTTTTTTCCCACCATAGGCCTCAAAGGCCTCCAAATGTCCACTTGCTGCTCCTATAAAAAGAGGGTTTCAAAACTGTTCAATTGAAAGTTATGTTGAACTCTGTGAGATGAATGCATACATCACGAAGAAGTTTCTCAGAATTCTTCTTTCTAGTTTTTACGTGAAGATATTTCGTTTTCCACCACAGGCTGCAAAGCACTCCAATTGTCCACTAGCAGATTCTACAAAAAGAGAGTTTCCAAGTTGCTCAATCAAAAGAAAGACTCAACTCTGTCAGATGAATGGACACATCACAAAGAAGTTTCTCAGAATGTTTCTGAACAGTTTTTATGTGAAGAAATTTCCATTTCCACCATAGTCCGCAAAGCGCTCCAAATGTCCACTTGGAGATTCTACAAAAAGAGTGTGTCAAAACTGCTCAATCATAAGAAAGTTTCAACTCTGTGAGATGAATGCACATATCACAAAGAACTTTCTCAGAATGCTTCTGTCTAATTATAATAAGAAAATATTTTGTTTTCCGCCTTAGGTCTCAAAGCTCTCCAAATGTCCACTTGCAGACCCTTTTCCACCATAGGCCTCAAAGCGCTTCAAATATCCACTTGCAGATTCTGCAAAAAGAATATTTGAAAGCAGCTAAATCAAAAGAAATGTTCAACACTGTGAGATGAATGCACACATCACAAAGGAGCTTCTCGAAATGCCTCTGTCTAGTTTTTATATGAAGATATTTCCTTTTCCACCATAGGCTGCCAAGCGTTAAAAATATCCACTTGCAGATTCCACAAAAAGAATGTTTCAAAACTTCTCAATCAAAAGAAAGGTTCAACTCTGTGAGATGAATGCACACATCACAAAGAAGTTTCTCAGAATGATTCTGTGTAGTTTTTAGGTGAAGATATTTCCCTTTCCACCATAGGCCCCAAAGCACTCCAAATATCCATTTGCAGATACTACAAAAAGTGTTTTTCAAAACTGCTGAATCCAAAGAAATGTTCAACTTTGTGAGATGAATGTACACATCAGAAAGAAGTTCCTCAGACTGCTTCTGTGTTGTTTTTAGGTGAAGATATTTCCGTTTCCACCATAGGTCTTGAAACCCTCCAAATATCCACTTGTTCATTCCACAAAAAGTGTGCTTCAAATCTGCTCAATCAAAAGAAAGTTTCAATTCTGTGAGATGAATGCACACATCACAAAGCAGTTTCTCAGAATGCTTCTGTCCAGTTTTTATGTGAAGATATTTCCTTCTCCACCATAGACCTTAAGGCGCTCCAAATATCCACTCGCAGATTTTACAAAACGAGAGTTTCAAACTGCTCAATCAAAAGAAAGGTTCAACTCTGTGTGTTGAATGCACAAATCACAAAGAAGTTTCTCAGAATGCTTCTGTGTAGTTTTTATGTGAAGATATTTCCTTCTCCACTGTAGACCTTAAAGCGTTCCAATTATCCACTTGCAGATCGTACAAAAAGAGTGTTTCAAACTGCTCAATCAAAAGAAAGTTTCAACTCTGTGAGCTGAATGCACAAATCACAAAGAAGTTTCTCAGAATGCTTCTGTCTAGTTTTTATGTGAAGATGTTTCCTTTTACCACCATTGGCCACAAAGCGCTCCAAATATCCACTTGCAGATTCTACAAAAAGAGTGTTTCAAAACTGCTCAATCAAAAGAAAGGTTCATCTCTGAGACATGAATGCACACATCACAAAGGAGTTTCTCAGAAGGCTTCTGTCTAGTTTTTATGTGAAGATATTTCCCTTTCCACTATAGGCCACAAAGTGCTCCAAATATCCACTTGCAGATTCTACAAAAAGAGATTTTCCAAACTCCTCAATCAAAAGAAAGTTTAAACTCTGTGAGTTGAATGCACACATCACAAAGAAGTTTCTCAGAATGCTTCTGTCTAGTTTTTAATTGAAGATACTTCCTTTTCCACCACTGGGCTCAAAGCACTCCAAGTATCCACTTGCAGATTCTACAAAAAGAGTGTTTCAAAACTGCTCAATCAAAGTTTCAACTCTGTGAGATGAATGCACACATCACAAAGAAGTTTCTCAGAATGCTTCTGTCTAGTATTTATGTGAAGATATTTCCTTTTCTACAATAGGCCTCAAACCGCTCCAAATATCCACTTGCAAATACTACAAAAAGATTGTTTCAAAACTGCTCAATCAAAAGAAATCTTCAACTATGTGAGTTGAATGCACACATCACAAAGAACTTTCTCGGAACGCTTCTGTGTAGTTTTTATTTGAAGATATTTCCTTTTCCACCACAGGCCCCAAACTGATCCAAATATCCACATGCAGATCCTTCAAAAGAAGTGTTTCAAAACTGTTCGATCAAAATAAAAGTTCTATTCTGTGAGATGAATGCACACATTACAAAGAAGTTTCTCAGAAGGCATTTGTGTAGTTTTTATGTGAAGATGTTTCCTTTTCCTCCATAGGCCTCAAATCGCTCCCAATGTCCACTTGCAGATTCTACAAAAAGAGTGTTTCAAAGCTGCTCAATCAAAAGAAATGTTCAACTCTGTGAGATGAATGCACACATCACAAAGAAGTTTCTCAGAATGCTTCTGTCTAGTTTTTAAGGGAAGATATTTCCCTTTCCTCTAGAGGTCCCAAAGCCCTCCAACTTTGCAGATATTACAAAAAGAGTGTTTCAAAACTGCTCAATCAAAAGAATATTTCAACTCTGTGAGTTGAATGCACACATCACAAAGAAGTTTCTCAGAATGCTTCTGTCTAGTTTTTATGTGAAGATATTTCCTTTTCCACCATAGGCCCCAAAGCACTCAAAATATCCACTTGCTGATTCTACAAAAAGAGTGTTTCAAAACTGCTCAATCAAGAGAAACATTCAACTCTGTGAGATGAATGCACAGATCACAGAGGAGTTTCTCAGAATGCTTCTGTCTGGTTTTGATGTGAAGATATTTACTTTTCCACCATAGGCTGTAAAGCGTTCCAAATATCCACTTGCAGACACTACAAAAAGAGTATTTCAAAAGTGCTAAATCAAAAGAAAAGTTCAACTCTGTGAGGTGAATGCACACATCACAAAGAAGTTCTCAGAATGCTTCTTTCTTGTCTTTATGTGAAGATATTTCCTTTTCCATTCAGAACCTCGTGGCAGTGTTCTGTAATCCTGTGTGAGGGACAAACACTCAGAATCCAGCCACTGTGTACTGGAATCCTATCTGAGGGCACACATTTTAAATCCAGATGTAGTCTCCTTGCTTTAGTGAATACACTTATCTCCTTTTCCTACTATACATTTAGGCAAATTATTTTTCTGTACCTTAAATAAATGGTAAATACCTGAAATTTCTTACTTTTTCCAGGCAGAGTGTCTTCACTATTTAGCTGTAGAAGTATAACTATTTTTGTCTGTGTCACAATTTTGTACTGAGGAACCCTGGCCATGTCACTAGCCAAACGGACATAACTTATGGAATACATGGACAGCATCCGGTTGATATGCTCTAGAGAAAAATAGCAGCTACCATAGACTTCAGGAAAGACACATCGAGCAAATGACAAAAATGTGGGTTTCCTACCTTCAGGGAGTCTAAGAATGTAGTAGAAAGTGATATGGAGCAAACATCTTTCAAATGGAAGGAAGGGATAGGGAAAGGAAGACTGTTAGAGGCTCTTTTGAATGTTAGAGGCAACATAAAACATATTTGGATGTGTATTCTAAATAAAATGCAAATGTCAAGAAGGATGTCAGCTGTGAATGGGACTCAGAGAAAGAGAAACGTTTTGGACTACAGAGGCCTGCAGTACAAGTGGATCTACAATTTTGTTTAGGGAATCTAATGCCTCAGGTATCTATGAGAGGCAGAATTTTCCTATGGAGCCAGCGGCAAGGCTCCAGAGGAGAAATACAGTACAAGCCACTTCATTTTGGAGTAAAAGCCTTTTGTACAAAAATTACCCGCCCCCTCCTTTTTTGAGAAACAATTTCACATTGCGATACTAATAAGAAGGAATGCTCAATCATGAATAAGGGTGACCCCATTGTGATCTGAGCATTATAGGATCATACTAACTACAACCAGTCTTCCATCATTCCATGGAAATTGCATGTATGCCACGCAAGCAAATCTTCTCAGTTTCCAAGGGACCAATTAATGAACAGGCTACTCACATTTTCAGCATCCTACTCCTGACACACTCCCACCCTTCTTTCTATTTATCTGTGATTCATAGAGATTTGCCTATGACTGGATTCCTGAGGAGAAAAAGTCTGGATTACAGATGGCATTCCTTGTTATGGAAGGCCCTTCCTTCTGAAAGTCTATTTCTATCATATTCTTTTCCTGTGCTGTCAAAGGGTCACCTCTTTGTACAAAGGAGAAGAGAAATCCACCAAGTAAATAAAATTTCATTTACCTTTGTAAAAAATATTTCTACCAATTCACGTGGGGGACCTTATTGTTTGGTCCAATAATCAGAGATTTGAAAGAACCTGATATTGTTGGCCAGCAGATTAGAAAAGAGTTATTAGAGAGAGATGGCTCAAGTGATAATAACTGTGTGCCTTGTGAATGCTCACCTAAACCAAAGATCACTGAAGATAATGTATTTTACCATGATGTTTTAATCTCAGGTAAATGCCAATCAGGAGACAAACACTTGTTTATCTCCTGATTGGTATTGATCTGAATTAAGCTGTCTGCCATTTGGAGAAATTTAAATGCTATTTTAAACACACAGTCTTGTTACTTGAGTTTTTTATGATCTTAAGCGGCTCCCCTCCTTTTGTGGGTTAGATTGTGTCTTCAAAAAGAAAATATATATATTAGAGTTCTAGCCCCTGATGTCTGTGAGTATGACTTAATTTGAAATCAAATTATTTGCAGATGCTGTATAATTATGATATGCTAGATGAGCTCATAATGCATTAGAGTGGGCCATAATTCAATATGGTTGATATCCTCATAAGAAGGGAAGAGGAAACAGAGACGCAGGGAGGAGATGGCCATATGAGGATGGAGGTAGAGAATAAAGTGAGGTATCCTCCAGCCAAGCAATGACAATGAAGCTCAGTGATCACCTGGTGCTAGAAGAAGCAAGAAAGGATTTTTTCCCAGGTCCTTCAGAGAAAAATGCAGCACTGCTAACTCCTTCATTTAAGATTTCTAGCTTCCTGAACCGTAAAAGAATAACTTTATCTCATTTTAAGCGACCTAATGTGAACCACTTTGTCACAGCAGATGTAGGAAATTACACCTCCTTAAAGAATGCAGAATCCTGGCCCGTGCTTGCCTCATACCTATTGAATGAGAATCTAAGGGCTCTAGAATCTGCATTTTGAAACTAATACATAATACACAAAGAGAACTCACTAAGTACTCTACATGCACTTCATCCTCACAAGCCATGAAGTAGTTTACTATTATAATTCTCATTTTACATATAGGAAAATGGAGCATTAAAAGATTAAGTAATTTGCCTACAGTCACTCACATAACCAGAAAGTGGAAGAGCTGGGATTCAATCCCAGTTCCAGACATCCTGATATGCTGGGTTCAGACACCACACACTTAGCAACTATTACACACTTAGCATTATTATTATTATTATTATTATTATTATTATTATTTTAATCACCATCTCCACCTTCTTAAGCACTCAAAAGTTGAAATCCAGTGGTGTGTTGCTGTTTCCATTCATAGCAAGTTATAGCCACAATCATAAATTACACTTCCTCCAAAACAGTATGCTGACTTCTCATCTCTTTTTAAAATCCCTTCCGTCCTTCTTTTCTTTCTTCTCTTCTGTTTTCTTTTCTCTTTTCTTTCTCTTGCTCTGTCACCCAGGCTGGAGTGCAGTGGCATCATCTCGGCTCACTGCGACCTCCACCTCCCGGGTTCAAGCGATTCTCCTGTCTCAGCCTCCCAAGTAGCTAGGATTACAGGCGCCCAACACCATGCCCGTTTAATTTTTGTATTTTTAGTAGAGATGGGGTTTCACATCTTGGCCAGGCTGGTCTTGAACTGCTGACATCGTGATCCATCCACCTCGGCCTCCCAAAGTGCTGGGATTACAGGCATGAGCCACTGTGCCCAGCCTCTTTCACCCATTGAAATCTCATTTCAACAATTACCATCTTTTTTGAGTGGTATTTTTGAAGTTATAAATGAATTCCCTATAATACATAGTGAGAATATTTATGGGAGCTTCCTAATTGACCTTTCTAAACATTCTGCATTGCTTCTCATTTCCTTCTTTAAATTTCCTTCTACCTTGACTTCCTTAAGACCACTCAATGTTGGCCCCATGCTTTCATTTTTTTCTTTTTTCTTTTATTTTTTTCTTTCTTTTTTTTTTTTTTTTTTTTTTGAGACGAAGTTTCCCTCTTTTCACCCAGGCTGGAGTGCAACAGTGTGATCTCAGCTCACTGCAACCTCCGCCTCCCAGGTTCAAGAGACTCTCCTTCCTCAGCCTCCCGAGTAGCTGCGATTACAAGCATGTGCCACCATGCCCAGCTAATTTTGTATTTTTAGTAGAGATGGGGTTTCTTCATGTTGGTCAGGCTGGTCTCAAACTCCCAACCTCAGGTGATCCGCCCGCCTCGGCCTCCCAAAGTGCTGGGATTATAGGCATGAGCCACAATGCCCAGCCCATGCTTTCTTTTTAATAACTCCTTGCTGCCTAGTATTTTCATGTCCACTGTGTAACTACTAGTCTTAATGGGTATTTCTTTTCTTACTATTCTGCACCAATGTTTCCCTGATTGACAATAGTTTTCCTGAAATGTATTCTTGGAATGGAATTCTATGATACGCTTAGAAAATTCTGCATACCTTATACTTCAGAATGTGTATGTAAAAGACTCCAGTAAATGATCCAGGGAAGCAAAAATATTTGTGTGTTTTGTGAGCTGTATTCATATGTGTATAAAATTCCCACAGCACTTTGGGTAACAACGCTCTGCACACTTTTCCTGTGCTCCTTTTATCAATTCCCACACTTCCAGCATTTCCTTTGATGTTTGATTTTCTTTATTTTTTTTTACTCCAATATTTTCCTGTAGGTTTCAAACCTATATTTTCAAATGTCAACTGATTCTCCCCCCCTGTCTTCACCACCTGCATCTCAAATTTGACATAGCCATAAACACATTTTATATTTTGGCAAATAAATCTATTTCTTTTAAAGCATTGCCCATCTCAGCTAATGATGATAATATCAAGCCAGTCGCCAAGAAAATTTAGAGTATATATACCTTGACTATTCCTTCTAAATGAATTATTAAGTTCAGCTCTTTCTACTTTGAATTACCTTTCTATTCCGCCATTTCTCTTCTGTGTTGCTGCTAATGTTTTAATTTAGTCATTCATCACATCATGCCTGTACTTCTGGAATAATCTTGACTATTCTTTCTGACTTTTTCTTCTAACTGCATCTCAAAAACTTCTATCCAGAATGAAAATAAGTATATATATATATACTATATATACATATACTATACATATACTATATACATACACTATACATATACTATACATATACTATACTATATACATATACATATACATATACTATATATACATACTATATATACATATATACATACACACTATATGTATGTATATAGTATAAGTATAGACATGCTATATACTATATATATGCTATATATTTATATATACACACACCCACTATGCTTTTAAAAATTGTTTACTTATGTCCCATCATTGAAGGGTAAAATACAAAATCACTGATATTGAGAGACATTCTCCTCAATCATTTAACATTTTCCTTCACAAACCTGTGCTGTAGCCACACCCAGAACAGGTTATGTTCCTTCAAAGACACACACACTTTTCTATTACTCTCCTTTTACTCCTTCTATTTCATCTGCTTAGACCATTTTTTACTTGTTTTCTGTCTGTCTTCATTCATTTTTCAGGATCCAATTAAAATATTGATACAAAGGCTGAGATCTTTATGTCTTCTCTTATTTAAATTCCTGAAGCAACAGATAACTTCCTCTATTATAATTCTTACTGTATACAACCATAACTCTCATTTGAAAACAATGAATACATAATTATAAAATCAGATATATCATAAAATGATAGGTATCAATATGTGAAAAAAATCTTCAATGTTGAAAGTACAAGATTACAAGCCATCTGAAAGTAACTAAACATCAATCAGAGAAAAATGCTCATCATTTTTTGATGAAACCAAAAGTAAGAGAATTTGGTATTAATCTACTACATCATTGGTAAATTACATATTAATTATTGTGAGAAAGAAATAATTGATGGAATTTAAAGAAAATCGGTTTTCCTTTATTTTTATTATTCTACCTAAAAGTATTATATCTAATTAAAATAATGATTTTAAAATTATCCCATCAAGTATGTCATCACACACTAAAATCCATTGCATTTAATTTCTCAACTGAGAAATTGTATTCAATTGTATTTAATTTCTCTACTGAAAAATTAATATGAAAGCAATCACATAGCATTCAGAAATTAATAAATATTTAAAGAAATTAAACAACATTAGATTTTCTTGTTGTAAAATTTTTTTCTTCTCTCAGTATGGCTTATGTCTCATTGCTTCTATTGAACATAGCACAATTCAAGTATTAATACAGCACCTTTATAAAAGTTGTGAATCTCAGAAATGAACAAGCTTACCTCCCTAGTTATTTATTAAAAGTTACAAGTCACTTTTTTTTAACTTCCTAATAATCTTAGAGGGGTATATTTTGTGTTTTTGTTTGCTATATCTTTTATAAAGAAGATCCCTAATGATTTGAAAGTTAGAACCAATTTTCTGAAGGATTGAGCCACGCTCCTTGAACTTGTGTGTTTGTGGGTGGCACACTATGTCTTTTGCAGACCCGGTACCTAACCCAGCAGGGGTGGGTGGTTTGTGGTTGACCGAAAATAGAACGGGCTACAAAAGCCCTTCCTGTTTGATATTGAATCTGCTATTTGAGTCACCCTTACATTATGAACTGACTGTTAATTAACACATTTGGTAAGAGAATATCCTGATCTGCTTTGCATGTGAGGCTCTCCCAGTAATAAACAAAGAAGCATAATCAAACAAGATTTTAATTTCTCTATGCCCTGTTAGAAATTCAGATACAATTCAAGTCATCTTGGAAATTTTAAGTTGCATTCCGATGTCGTCTCTGTTCTGGCCATTGTGCAATGGGCCTTCAAATGTTGTAGTAGAGGCCAACTGATATTCCATTGTTATTCATTTATACACAGGTATATATATGGTGTGTGTACGCAAATATATATATGAATATTCATATATGTGTATATGTGTACATACATACATATGGAGGTAATACAAGTTTGCATTGTTTTTAAAATTTTTTTACCCAAATTAACAATGACTCTATTGCATATCTTTATTGGTTATATCACATTTATATAAATAAATTTATATCAGTGAGAATTTTCAAGTAAGTGAAATTTGAATTGGATTCAGGGTTTTATTTTTTTGAAATTTCCGATTAAAATTACTTGATTTTTTAAAATTTTATCTTAAAATATTCAAGTCCCATTTGTAAAAAAAATAGAGGATAAAAATGAAGTATGTCTTTATGAGCCACAAATTTTAATTTTACTTTAATAATTGTTAAAATAATATTTTTTCCATGAGGCATTTTATAATGCCCTCTTTATTTATTTTTTTGTGATGTACTTTATTATTATTATTATTATACTTTAAGTTTTAGGGTACATGTGCACATTGTGCAGGTTAGTTACTTATGTATACATGTGCCATGCTGGTGCACTGCACCCACTAACTCGTCATCTAGCATTAGGAATATCTCCCAATGCTATCCCTCCCCCCTCCCCCCAACCCACCACAGTCCCCAGAGTGTGATGTTCCCCTTCCTGTGTCCATGTGATCTCATTGTTCAATTCCCACCTATGAGTGAGAATATGCGGTGTTTGGTTTTTTGTTCTTGTGATAGTTTGCTGAGAATGATGATTTCCAATTTCATCCATGTCCCTACAAAGGACATGAACTCATCATTTTTTATGGCTGCATAGTATTCCATGGTGTATATGTGCCACATTTTCTTAATCCAGTCTATCATTGTTGGATATTTCGGTTGGTTCCAAGTCTTTGCTATTGTGAATAGTGCCACAATAAACATACGTGTGCATGTGTCTTTATAGCAGCATGATTTATAGTCCTTTGGGTATATACCCAGTAATGGGATGGCTGGGTCAAATGGTATTTCTAGTTCTAGATCCCTGAGGAATCGCCACACTGACTTCCACAGTGGTTGAACTAGTTTACATTCCCACCAACAGTGTAAAAGTGTTTCTATTTCTCCACATCCTCTCCAGCACCTGTTGTTTCCTGACTTTTTAATGATTGCCATTCTAACTGGTGTGAGATGGTATCTCATTGTGGTTTTGATTTGCATTTCTCTGATGGCCAGTGATGGTGAGCATTTTTTCATGTGTTTTTTGGCTGCATAAATGTCTTCTTCTGAGAAGTGTCTGTTCATGTCCTTCGCCCACTTTTTGATGGGTTTGTTTGTTTTTTTCTTGTAAATTTGTTTGAGTTCATTGTAGATTCTGGATATTAGCTCCTTGTCAGATGAGTAGGTTGCGAAAATTTTTTCCCGTTTTGTAGGTTGCCTGTTCACTCTGATGGTAGATTCTTTTGCTGTGCAGAAGCTCTTTAGTTTAATTAGATCCCATTTGTCAATTTTGACTGTGGTTGCCATTGCTTTTGGTGTTTTAGACATGAAGTCCTTGCCCATGCCTATGTCCTGAATGGTAATGCCTAGGTTTTCTTCTAGGGTTTTTATGGTTTTAGGTCTAACGTTTAAGTCTTTAATCCGTCTTGAATTGATTTTTGTATAAGGTGTAAGGAAGGGATCCACTTTCAGCTTTCTACGTATGGCTAGCCAGTTTACCCGGCACCACTTACTAAATAGGGAATCCTTTCCCCATTGCTTGTTTTTCTCAGATTTGTCAAAGATCATATAGTTGTAGATATGTGGCATTATTTCTGAGGGCTCTGTTCTGTTCCATTGATCTATATCTCTGTTTTGGTACCAGTACCATGCTGTTTTGGTTACTGTAGCCTTCTAGTATAGTTTGAAGTCAGGTAGTGTGATGCCTCCAGCTTTGTTCTTTTGGCTTAGGATTGACTTGGTGATGCGGGCTCTTTTTTGGTTCCATATGAACTTTAAAGTAGTTTTTTCCAATTCTGTGAAGAAAGTCATTGGTAGCTAGATGGGGATGGCATTGAATCTGCAAATTACCTTGGGCAGTATGGTCATTTTCATGATATTGATTCTTCCTACCCATGAGCATGGAATGTTCTTCCATTTGTTTGTATCCTCTTTTATTTCCTTGAACAGTGGTTTGTAGTTCTCCTTGAAGAGGTCCTTCACATCCCTTGTAAGTTGGATTCCTAGGTATTTTATTCTCTTTGAAGCAATTGTGAATGGGAGTTCACTCATGATTTGGCTCTCTGTTTGTCTGTTGTTGGTGTATAAGAATGCTTGTGATTTTTGTACATTGATTTTGTATCCTGAGATTTTGCTGAAGTTGCTTATCAGCTTAAGGAGATTTTGGGCTGAGACAATGGGATTTTCTAGATATACAATCATGTCATCTGCAAACAGGGACAATTTGACTTCCTCTTTTCCTAATTGAATACCCTTTATTTCCTTCTCCTGCCTGATTGCCCTGGCCAGAACTTCCAACACTATGTGGAATAGGAGTGGTGAGAGAGGTCATCGCTGTCTTGTGCCAGTTTTCAAAGGGAATGCTTCCAGTTTTTGCCCATTCAGTATGATATTGGCTGTGGGTTTGTCATAGATACCTCTTATTATTTTGAAATACGTCCCATCAATACCTAATTTATTGAGAGTTTTTAGCATGAAGGGTTGTTGAATTTTGTCAAAGGCCTTTTCTGCATCTATTGAGATAATCATGTGGTTTTTGTCTTTGGTTCTGTTTATAAGCTGGATTACATTTATTGATTTGTGTATATTGAACCAGCCTTGCATCCCAGGGATGAAGCCCACTTGATCATGGTGGATAAGCTTTTTGATGTGCTGCTGGATTCGTTTTGCAAGTATTTTATTGAGGATTTTTGCATCAATGTTCATCAAGGATATTGGCCTAAAATTCTCTTTTTTGGTTGTGTCTCTACCCGTATATTGCCCTCTTTAAAGGCTCAAAATCTCAAATGCAGAAAGAATGACTTTTAAATATCCTACATATTTAAACCATTTATTTTATACAACAATCCCATAGATGCAAAACTACTACTAATAAACAAGTAACCTAAGCCGAATTAAATAAAAGTATACAAAGAAAAAATTAGCTGTCTGTGGTGGTGGATGTCTGTAATCCCAGCTACTCATGAGGCTGAGGCAGGAGATTTGCTTGAACTCGGGATGTGGAGGTTGAAGTGAGCCGAGATCCCGCCACTGCACTCCAGCTTGGACCACAGAGCGAGACTGTCTCAAACAAAAAATAAAAAAAAAAGAAAAGAAAAGAAGAAATTACTTCTTTTACACTTGCTCTTCTGTGTTTAGTTTCGAAATTATCATCTTCATGCAAAGTATTTAGCGCAGTGCCTGACAGATAGAAAAAGTTAACTATTATTTATTTATTTATTTATTTATTTATTTATTTATTTATTTGAGATGGAGTCTTGCTGTGTCTCCAGGTTGCAGTGCAGTGGCGCAACCTTGGCTCATTGCAACCTCTGCCTCCCAAGTTCAAGCGATTCTCTTGTCTCAGCCTCCTGAGTAGCTAGGATTACAGGCATGCACCACCACGCCAAGCTATTTTTTTTTTAATTTTATTTTTTAAGTAGAGATGGGGTTTCACTATGTTGGCCAAAATGGTCTATGTCTCTTGACCTTCTGATCTGCCTGCCTTGGCCTCCCAAGGTGCTGGGATTACAGGCGTGAGCCACTGCACCCAGCTGCTAGCTATTATTTCTAATCCTTTGCCATGCTCAGGTATAATCTTCCCAAATCCAGAAGTAATTTTATAACTTCAGCTAATTGCAGTGATAAATTATTGAAATATTTTCCTAAAGAAAATACACAAATGAAACCTTAAAAATACAAGGACTGGGCTGGGCACAGTGGCTTGTGCCTGTAATTCCAGTAATTTGGGAGGCCGAGCTGGGTGGATCACCTGAGGTCAGGATTTGGAGACAAGCCTAGCCAACATGGCGAAATGTCATCTCTACTAAAAATACAAAAATTAGCTGTGCATGGTGGTGGGTGCCTGTAATCCCAGCTACTCCAGAGACTGAGGCAGGAAAATCGCTTGAACCTGGAGGCGGAGGTTGAAGTGAGGTTAGATCTCACTGCTGGACTGCAGCCTGGGACAACAGAGCAAAACCTGTCTAAAAAAAAAAAAAAGGTTGGGTGCAGTGGCTCATGCCTGTGATCCCAGCACTTTGGGAGGCCAAGGCGGGCAGATCACGAGGTCAGGAGATGGAGACCATCCTGGCTAACACAGTGAAACCCCGTCTCTACTGAAGATGCAAAAAATTAGCGGGGCATGGTGGCAGATGGCTGTAGTCCCAGCTACTCAGGAAGCTGAGGCAGGAGAATGGTGTGAACCCGGGAGGCAGAGCTTGCAGTGAGCCGAGATTGCACCACTTCACTCCAGCCTGGGTGACAGAGGGAGACTCTGTCGCAAAAAAGAAAGAAAGAAAGAAAGAAAGAAAGAAAGAAAGAAAGAAAGAAAGAAAGAAAGAAAGATGGATGAAGGTATAGTAAATTATGAAAGAGAAAAAGAGAGAATAAGCATCATTAAAAGACACAGACTGGCAAATTGGATAAAGAGTCAAGACCCATCAGTGTGCTGTATTCAGGAAACCCATCTCACATGCAGAGACACACATAGGCTCAAAATAAAAGGATGGAGGAAGATCTACCAAGCAAATGGAAAACAAAAAAAGGCAGGGGTTGCAATCCTAGTCTCTGATAAAACAGACTTTAAACCAACAAAGATCAAAAGAGACAAAGAAGGCCATTACATAATGGTAAAGGGATCAATTCAACAAGAAGAGCTAACTATCCTAAATATATATGCACCCAATACAGGAGCACCCAGATTCATAAAGCAAGTCCTGAGTGACCTAGAAAGAGACTTAGACTCCCACACATTAATAATGAGAGACTTTAACACCCCACTGTCAACATTAGACAGATCAATGAGACAGAAAGTCAACAAGGATACCCAGGAATTGAACTCAGCTCTGCACCAAGAGGACCTAATAGACATCTACAGAACTCTCCACTCCAAATCAACAGAATATACATTTTTTTCAGCACCACACCACAACTATTCCAAAATTGACCACATACTTGGAAGTAAAGCTCTCCTCAGCAAATATAAAAGAACAGAAATTATAACAAACTATCTCTCAGACCACAGTGCAATCAAACTAGAACTAAGGATTAAGAATCTCACTCAAAGCCGCTCAACTACATGGAAACTGAACAACCTGCTCCTGAATGACTACTGGGTACATAACGAAATGAAGGGAGAAATAAAGATGTTCTTTGAAACCAATGAGAACAAAGACACAACATACCAGAATCTCTGGGACGCATTCAAAGCAGTGTGTAGAGGGAAATTTATAGCACTAAATGTCCACAAGAGAAAGCAGGAAAGATCCAAAATTGACACCCTAACATCACAATTAAAAGAACTAGAAAAGCAAGAGCAAACACATTCAAAAGCTAGCAGAAGGCAAGAAATAACTAAAATCGGAGCAGAACTGAAGGAAATAGAGACACAAAAAACCCTTCAAAAAATCAATGAATCCAGGAGCTGGTTTTTTGAAAGAATCAACAAAATTGATAGACCGCTAGCAAGACTAATAAAGAAAAAAAATAGAGAAGAATCAAATAGACACAATAAAAAATGATAAAGGGGATATCACCACCTATCCCACAGAAATACAAACTACCATCAGAAAATACTACAAACACCTCTATGCAAATAAACTAGAAAATCTAGAAGAAATGGATAAATTCCTCAACACATACACTCTCCCAAGACTAAACCAGGAAGAAGTTGAATCTCTGAGTAGACCAATAACAGGAGCTGAAATTGTGGCAATAATCAATAGTTTACCAACCAAAAAGAGTCCAGGACCAGATGGATTCACAGCTGAATTCTACCAGAGGTACAAGGAGGAACTGGTACCATTCCTTCTGAAACTATTCCAATCAATAGAAAAAGAGGGAATCCTCCCTAACTCATTTTATGAGGCCAGCATCATCCTGATACCAAAGTGTGGCAGAGACACAACCAAAAAAGAGAATTTTAGACCAATATCCTTGATGAACATTGATGCAAAAATCCTCAATAAAATACTGGCAAAAAGAATCCAGCAGCACATCAAAAAGCTTATCCACCATGATCAAGTGGGCTTCATCCCTGGGATGCAAGGCTGGTTCAATATACACAAATCAATAAATGTCATCCAGCATATAAACAGAACCAAAGACAAAAACCACATGATTATCTCAATAGATGCAGAAAAAGCCTTTGACAAAATTCAACAACCCTACATGCTAAAAACTCTCAATAAATTAGGTATTGATGGGACATATTTCAAAATAATAAGAGCTATCTATGACAAACCCACAGCCAATATCATACTGAATGGGCAAAAACTGGAAGCATTCCCTTTGAAAACTGGCACAAGACAGCGATGACCTCTCTCACCACTCCTATTCCACATAGTGTTGGAAGTTCTGGCCAGGGCAATCAGGCAGGAGAAGGAAATAAAGGGTATTCAATTAGGAAAAGAGGAAGTCAAATTGTCCCTGTTTGCAGATGACATGATTGTATATCTAGAAAACCCCATTGTCTCAGTCCAAAATCTCCTTAAGCTGATAAGCAACTTCAGCAAAATCTCAGGATACAAAATCAATGTACAAAAATCACAAGCATTCTTATACACCAACAACAGACAAACAGAGAGCCAAATCATGAGTGAACTCCCATTCACAATTGCTTCAAAGAGAATAAAATACCTAGGAATCCAACTTACAAGGGATGTGAAGGACCTCTTCAAGGAGAACTACAAACCACTGCTCAAGGAAATAAAAGAGGATACAAACAAATGGAAGAACATTCCATGCTCATGGGTAGGAAGAATCAATAACGTGAAAATGACCATACTGCCTAAGGTAATTTACAGATTCAATGCCATCCCCATCTAGCTACCAATGACGTTCTTCGCAGAATTGGAAAAAACTACCTTAAAGTTCATATGGAACCAAAAAAGAGCCCGCATCGCCAAGTCAATCCTAAGCCAAAAGAACTAATCAGGCATCTACCTGATTTCAAACTATACTAGAAGGCTACAGTAACCAAAACAGCATGGTACTGGTACCAAAACAGAGATATAGATCAATGGAACAGAACAGAGCCCTCAGAAATAACGCCACATATCTACAACTATCTGATCTTTGACAAACCTGAGAAAAACAAGCAATGGGGAAAGGATTCCCTATTTAATAAATGGTGCTGGGAAAACTGGCTAGCCATATGTAGAAAGCTGAAAGTGGATCCCTTCCTTACACCTTATACAAAAATCAATTCAAGATGGATTAAAGATGTAAACGTTAGACCTAAAACCATAAAAACCCTAGAAGAAAACCTAGGCATTACCATTCAGGACATAGGCATGGGCAAGGACTTCATGTCTAAAACACCAAAAGCAATGGCAACCAAAGCCAAAATTCACAAATGGGATCTCATTAAACTAAAGAGCTTCTGCACAGCAAAAGAAACTACCATCAGAGTGAACAGGCAACATACAAAATGGGAGAAAATTTTCGCAACCTACTCATCTGACAAAGGGCTAATATCCAGAATCTACAATGAACTCAAACAAATTTACAAGAAAAAAACAAACCCATCAAAAAGTGGGCGAAGGACATGAACAGACACTTCTCAGAAGAAGACATTTATGCAGCCAAAAAACACATGAAAAAGTGCTCACCATCACTGGCCATCAGAGAAATGCAAATCAAAACCACAATGAGATACCATCTCACACCAGTTAGAATGGCAATCATTAAAAAGTCAGGAAACAACAGGTGCTGGAGAAGATGTGGAGAAATAGGAACACTTTGACACTGTTGTTGGGACTGTAAACTAGTTCAACCATTGTGGAAGTCAGTGTGGCGATTCCTCAGGGATCTAGAACTAGAAACACCATTTGACCCAGCCATCCCATTACTGGGTATATACCCAAAGGACTATAAATCATGCTGCTATAAAGACACATGCACATGTATGTTTATTGCGGCATTATTCACAATAGCAAAGACTTGGAACCAACCCAAATGTCCAACAATGATAGACTGGATTAAGAAAATGTGGCACATATACACCATGGAATACTATGCAGCCATAAAACATGATGAGTTCATGTCCTTTGTAGGGACATGGATGAAATTGGAAATCATCATTCTCAGGAAACTATCGCAAGAACAAAAAACCAAACACCGTATATTCTCACTCATAGGTGGGAATTGAACAATGAGATCACATGGACACAGGAAGGGGAATATCAAACTCTGGGGACTGTGGTGGGGTTGGGGGAGGGTGGAGGGATAGCATTGGGAGATATACCTAATGTTAGATGACGAGTTAGTGGGTGCAGTGCACCAGCATGGCACATGTATACATATGTAACTAACCTGCACAATGTGCACATGTACCCTAAAACTTAAAGTATAATAGTAAAAAAATAAATAAATAAAATGAAAAAAAGAAAAATGAAAATAATAAAAACTATACAATTGCAAAACCATAACTCTTGTTAAAATATTTTACATGTCATATTGTAAATAAGACACCCTCCGTGTATGCAGAAATGATTACATTAGTATAGGAAACAGCTGTGATTGTAGATATATAAACTAGAGAAATGCCAATCAGAAATAAGTTTATCAACTAGAAGAGAGAAGAAATTTTTATTTGAGTAAATCTACTGTCTACAATTTAAAAATACACAGTGGTATTTCTTTCATTAAATAGCTTTATTTAAATATAAAAATAAAAGCTTATATATAGGCCAGAAGAAATATTGCTGGTTTATAATAAGGTTCATAGGAACTATAACAGGGTAATTAGATAAGATGGTGTGTAAATAATTATGTTATTTTAGTAAAAATATCCAACACTGTACCTTTCAAATAAAAATATACTTTTTTAAAGGTCAACAGAAAGTTATTGTGCTTCAAATTTTAACATTTATCCTCCAAGTGAAATTACTATAAGAAGAAACAACTAACCTGTAAATAAATAATCTACTTTTTGGAAAAGTTAACAAACCTCTCTACACACAATATAATTAAGAAAGATAATAAGAAACATATATAATTTCAAGATTTTCAGTTTTTTTTTTACTAAGCCAGAGAAGATAAATGAGTTAATCATTCATGTCAGTAAGTAAATACAGGATCAAAAAACATACCTAATGGAAGGAAATTAATAACAGAAAAGTAAAAATTATAATCTAGAAAATGAAAGATATAAATCGATTCATAAATGGATAAGACTTTTAAGACTTTTTTTGAAGAAATCATTTCAAACTAGAATAAGCAAGAGGAATAGATCAAAACAAAAAGGAAAACAGTGAAGGTGATATACACATCTTCTTACTGAAAATTAATTTTAAAGAACTGCTTTGTAAACACTAAAACTCAGAGTCATCAATGTGTCTGGATATGGATTCATTTTTATTTCTTCTGCTCAGCACTTGTTTTATACTTTAAATTAGAGTCCTCAAGTCTTTCCTCTGCAATGGAAATTTTATGGCATCATGTAAAGTATACAAATAGTGAAGGCATTGACAGTGTTTTCTTGTGTATAAGTATTCTCTACCATTAGAATGGAAACGTCATCAAAGTGGGCTCTTAGTGAGAGTTTGCTGAGTGGATGAATACTGTCCTTAAATATGGCTTCTCCATTCTCTTTGGACTCCTTTTGAAATTCCTATCATACATGTGTTGGGGACTTTCTTGACTGGTCTTTCTGACTTTTAAATACTTTTATCTGGATAAATTCATCATTATCTCCCAATTGACTAATTCTTTGTGTTTATTGCATTTACACTTCTTTTTTATATAATTTTCATTTCTAGAGCTTTTATTTTTTTTTTTCCTTTTTGAAGATGGAGTCTTGCTCTGTCACCCAGGCTGAAGTGCAGTGGCATGATCTCGGTTCACTGCAACCTCCTACTCCTGGGTTCAAGTGACTCTCCTCCTGCCTCAGCCTCCTCTCCTGCTTCAACCTCCTGAGTGGCTGGAATTACAGGCATGCGCCACCACACTCAGCTAATTTTTGAATTTTTAGTAG
The DNA here is from genome assembly GCF_000001405.40 of Homo sapiens. Taxonomy (NCBI): domain Eukaryota; kingdom Metazoa; phylum Chordata; class Mammalia; order Primates; family Hominidae; genus Homo; species Homo sapiens. The sequence goes on along the minus strand of NC_000018.10, from coordinate 15,365,365 downwards.
AGACGGGGTTTCATTATGTTGGTCAGCCTGGTCTAGAACTCCTGATATCATGATCCACCCTCCTCAGCCTACCAAAGTGCTGGGATTAGAGGTGTGAGCCACCACGCCTGGCTGCTTTTAATTTTTTATATCAATCTTTACTTTGTTCTTTTTTGCCTGCTTTTTTTTTCCCCAGAGTCTTACTCTGTTGCCCCAGCCAGAGTGCAATGGCGTGATCTTTGCTCACTGCAATCCCCCAGGGTTCTATCAATTCTCTTACCTCAGCCTCTAAGTAGCTGGGATTGCAGGCACCCATCACCATTCCCAGCTATGGTTTCGCCATGTTGGCCAGGTTGGTCTTGAAGTCCTGACCTCAGGTGATCCACCCACCTTGGCCTCCCAAAGTGTTAGGATTACAGGCGTAAGCCACTACGCCTGGCCTTTTGCCTGTTTTTATTTATATTTTTTTCTTTTCTTTTTTTTTTTAGATGGAGTCTAGCTCTGTCGCCCAGGCTGGCGTGCAGTGGCACGATCTCAGCTCACTGCCCGCTCTGCCTCCCAGGTTCACGCTATTCTCCTGCCCCAGCCTCCCGAGTAGCTGGGACTACAGGTGCCCGCCACCATGCTGGGCTAATTTTTTTGTATTTTTAGTAGAGAGAGGGTTTCACTGTGTTAGCCAGGATGGTCTTCATCTCCTGACCTCGTGATCCACCCAACTCGTCCTCACAAAGTGCTGGAATTACAGGAGTGAGTCACCACACTCGGTGTCTGTTTTTATTTTTAGGTCTTCTATTCTTTTTGATGAATTTTATTCTTTTGTTTTTTGGCAGAGGCTCACTCTGTTGCCCAGGTTGGAGTACAGTGATGCCATCTTGGCTCACTACAAAGTCCGCCTCCTGGGGTCAAGCAATTCTTCTGCCTCAGCTTCTTGAGTATCTGGGATTACATGCACCCACCACCGTGCCCTGCTAATTTTTGAATTTTTAGTAGAGATGGGGTTTCACGGTGTTTGCCAGGCTGGTCTTGAACTCCTGACCTCAGATGATTTACCCATCTCAGCCTCCCAAGGTGCTGGGATTACAAGCGTGAGCCACCATGCCTGGCCCTGGATGTTTTCTTCTTAAAAAGCCAGTTGAGAATTCTAAGTGTACTCACTTAAAAGGAAAATTTAGTTTGCTATAATATTTCTCATATTTGCTGTGGTGAATTCATCTCTAGGAGGTTTCTTTGTATAATTATTTCATTATCTCTCTAATAGTTAATTCTCCACATGTTTTGTAATATTTTTGCACACTCACCTTGAATGAGAAGTTCTCTACATGTCATAGTCATATAACAAACAGAATTCACCCTCCTTCACCACTAATCACACTTCTGTATATTCAATAAAATGTGCATTTCTTCATGGATACTCTTTGAATCATCTAAATGGAGACTCTTTATAGAAATATTGAATCATTAATTCTTCCAACTACTGTACTCCTTTCCAACATACTGTCTTACTGATTTTTCACTTTTTCCTATTTATATCCATTTTGTTCTACTAACCCGTCTGTCATTGGCCTTCTTCTATAGCCAACCTCAAATTTCAGTTCACACTAGCTGTGAACAGCACTCAAATTGCTGCTGTATTCTTAAAATATAAATTTACTTCATAAAGCAAAAGTGAATTATATGCATGTTACAAAAAATATTCCTAGCAGAGATAAGATGGGATGGTATTTGCTGGGATGTGCAGCATCGTTTTTTCCAAATTAATTTCTCTCAGAATTCTCTCCTCCCTACTGCCAGGCAGAGCTCACCACTCACATGTCATGAATGACATTTTTAGTCATTTTTCATCTTATCTGATCATATGACTTGAATTAATGTTTAGATCTGCTAAGGGCAAACACCACCATGGAATTAAATTTGCAAGAGGGAAGAAGGAGGAAGCAGGAGAAGGTGGGTAGAGTCTTCAGACTAGGGTGCAGATCTTACACCTGTAGAGGGAAAGAGGGAAGGAAGGCTGATTGGGGTAGAAAGAGACTGCAGCATGGTTCCAAGAATGCTTTGGCCTAGGTCACTGCGGACTCCTTAAATTAAAGTTACTCCTTGGAGACTCTCACAACTCACTGGAAACGTCCTCACATACAATCCCCATGTAGCTCTATGACTGTTGGAAACATGACTGCTGCACAAGTGTAGAAGTGCTTCCAGAGACAGAGGGCTAAAGCCAGGCTGTCGCTGACTTATGCTATCTGATTCAGGATATCTGCATTGCAAATTTCCTTGGTCATTAAAATCCATTACCCCCACCTCCTAACCCCACCACAGCACACACATATTTGTCCAAACAGATTCTTCATACCAGCTCTTCCAAAATTCCCATGATCCTCTCTTTTCCAAGGGGAATCTTAGAAAAGGAAGGTTAATGAGACCAACTCTAGCCCATGCTATATCAGTTGGTCTCAGAACTGCCTTTGAATGCCCAGTTGTGTGAGGGGGAGAGAAAGAGAGAGAGAGAGTATGGGAGTGGGGAGTGTGTGTGTGTGTGAGTGTGGGTGTGTGTGTGTGAGAGAGAGAGAAAGAGAGAAATTATCTCTGCTTCTTTTGTAGAAAAGTAGCCCTACCTCCTCCTGCTAATCAGGGTGTATTCATCCTGTCCCATTGGTGACGTATTTCTTGTCTTTTGGTTACTGGACCTAAGGAATCTAAAGCAACCAACAGATAACATTCTTTAGAGAGCAGGACTTGCCTGCCTTCCAGATCCCAGAGCTGCAGTGATGAGAAGCACAGGAAAACCTGAGAAGATTATTGGGAGCATTTGTAATTAGGGACATTCCTGTTTCTACCTCTGGTTTTCTGAACCTGTAGATTCTTCCTATGGAAAAAGAACTACTATATAAAGATCTGTGATAGAATATATATAAAAGATGGTGCCCCCTGCATTCAGAATGTTTCCTTTAGCATAGTGCCTCAGTTGCATCTTTAGAATGTTTCTCCAGGGCTCCATGAGTCTAGCTGCTTCTTGAAGAGTGTATGTAATACAAATAGTAGATTACATGGTCATGGACCCACTTCTTCCCATCCTTTGCTGTGAACAAGGAACCCTGGTCAGATGCTATACCATGTGGGATTTTATGCCTGTGGATCAGGAATTCTGGAAGCCTCAGAAAAGTGGTCCTGCCTCAGGCTCTGTGAACAGAAGTGCCAAACCCAGCCCTGGAATAAGGATATATCCCTCTGAGATGAAAAGGTGGTCATTCAATGTCAAAAGACTTGCCATATAAGAGTCTCATTATTGATTTATGCTGTTGAAAAGTAGGACAGTCAGAGGCAGCAGTAGTTAGATCAACCTTGATACATAGAAGTCCAGGCTGTGGGGCCCATATGTATTGTCCATCTCTGCCAACATGGTCATATGAGTGACTGCATATGTGTGACTGTTGTGCTTGTTGTGGGAAAGCCAATCTCCAAGGCTGGCAGCTTGTCAAGTCATTTTGTCTGATTGGTTATTGAGTGCCTCTTCTGTGGTGAGTGCTTTCTTGTGAGTGTGAACGTGCAATACAAGATTCTTTACACTCCGTGCCTGCTCCTGCATGTCCACTCATATGCTTCTAACCCAGCTTCCTTGTCTCAGATATTTCACTTCTTTTCTATCTAAGCCTCTGACCAGATGATTCACCCACTGACTACGGCAAAGAAATCTGTTTATATTCCTGCCTTAGGCCATGTTTCTTCTATGTAAAGTAGCTGGCCAGGGCCACTGCTCCCAGTGCTGCTAATAGGGAATATTTTAATTTCCTTCTGTCTTTCAGAGTCATTCTTGCATTGGGCTGCAATGCAACTACACCTTTAAACAGAGATTGCCCCTTTCTCCCTCCTTCAGATGGCCACAGGGACACAAATGCAGTCACAGGTGTGAGCTGAAGGAAGGTTGCTGGTGCAAACATGGTGGGTGACATGAGGATCTGGGTTACCTGCTATTCAACTTATCCACTTGCTCTCATCTTGATTGGCCTTTGTCTCATATTTACTATTTCCACCTCATGATGAACTACTTCTTTTCCCTTCTGGTGTCATGACTTGGTGGTTCCAATAGAACTCAGCCTGCAAGAGGTAGCGCCAGAAGCATGGTAACTTATCAAGCACAGCATCTCTCCTAGGTCCAACGTATAATTAACTGCTATGGAAGGCATGGCTTTGTTTCAGAATCCCAGGAGCTGGTGTTGTAATTCTTTCACTAAGAATTGCCATGTGTGCCACACTGCGACCACCATTGACACCTGCAAGAATACAGGTCCTGCAAGATCATATGACCCAAGCTGCAGGGCTGTTCACAATGGAGCCTGGACATGCTGTGGAGCCCTGTCTTGCCCTGCACTCTTCAAACCCTGTGGTCTTCCTATCTCCCTGACTTGTCTTGTGGCTTACTTGTGTTATGTTGCTTAGGGTTTCTTGAGTTTTATGAGTTTGTATTTTTATAACTGTATAGAGATAGATGGATATATATAGATATGGTCAAAGAGGAAGAGTAAGAGAGAAGAAAAAGAATTTTACAAAAGACTTTACTGGACATGTAGAAAAAAATATCAAAGTCCACCTCTATTTCCAGCACTTTGGAAGGACAAGGTGGGTGAATCAGAAGGTCAGGAGATTGAGACAATCCTGGCTAACACGGTGAAACCCCGTCTCTACTAAAAATATACAAAAAAATTAGCCAGGTGTGGTGGTGGGAGCCTGTAGTCCCAGCTACTCAGGAGGCTGAGGCAGGAGAATGGCATGAACCCAGGAGGCAGAGCTTGCAGTGAGCCGAGATCTTGCCACTGCACTCCAGCCTGGGTGACAGAGAGAGAATCCATCTCCAAAAAAAAAAAAAAAAAAAAAAAAAAAATCAAACTCCATAGTGAGAAGTCAAACAACACAACAACAAAATGGGCAAGAGATTTGAGTAGACGACAATAACCAAAGATATATTAATGATTGATGAACACTGAAAAATGCATCATTAACCACCTGGGAATGGAATTTAAAAATCAAAATGCAATAATACTGCACAGAAACTATAATGGATCCAAAAAAATGTCAATTCTGAATGTTTGAGAGGACATACAACACCCTGAATTATCATATTTAGGTGGGAGTATAAAGTGGATAATCAGTTTGAATTGCAGTTTGGCAGTTAAACATACACTTACAATTTGACCTAGAATATTCCATTCTTATTTACTCAAGAGAAATGAAAACATGTGCATACAAATGAACATAGCAGCTTTACTTGTAATAATCAAGGAATAGAAACATTTGTAAATGGTTCACCAACAGGCTAAAGGATAAACATATTGTAGTATTTCCATACAATAGAATAAAATAGAAAGAACCACTGATTTTGCAACATAGGTGATCCTAAAATATATTGAGAGAATGAAACAACAGTAGGCATATTATAAAAGTTGATTACTACAAAATTCTAGAAACTGAATTTATAGTGGTAGGTTGCAGATCAATGGCTGCTTGGAGCCAGAGGTTTTGGTAAGGAGTACAAAAGAACTTTTGAGGTGATAGACAGCTTCAATATCTTCATTGGTGGTAGCCACATAACTTTATATGTTTGTACTTAATTTGGATGTATTTTATTGTATTGAAAGTAAACCTCAGTTAAATAGACTTTTAAAATTTATTAGATTCTAAAATATTAATTTGCTTCCATCCATTATATTTATTCACAAATCCTACAATAGTATGTTTTGGAAGACCTGTAATAGACACAGTAACTGGCATATTCATAAAGGAAATTTCCTTATGTAGGATAGTTTGTAGGGGAAATGCCTGAAACAAAAAAATCTGCATCTGCTTATCATAATTCGCTGCATAAAAGATCTAAATGTGTAACTGGCAATCAGCTTTAGCTTTGATTATCTTTCATAGCAGCATGGATCAATGATGTTTACCCAGTTGGCTATTTCTCCATGCTAAACTCATATTGCATACATGCCTCTGAAATTCCAGTCATGTATAGTCTATAATGTATACCTATATTACACAATTTGTATACTTTTCCACTTTAAAGGGGGGATTTATACCTGCAAAGGGACTTGACCTACAACTATCATCCAATGCTGTTCCAAATTTTGGATAGTGTGACTCTATCCTGGAAATGATTCAGTAGTTTTGTTTCATTTGACTCTTCCTACAGACATAATGTGTTGAAGTAAACCTGTTTTTTTATGTTTGGAAAGTAGCCTTTGGACGGGTGTTTTCTAGCTTTTGGAAAACATGTACTCGAAGCAGAAGTAACTAGTTGTTGAGGGAATAGAACCACAGCATTTCTGACCTAGGCAAATTGAAACCTTGTCATCCTTGATGACAAACATGACATGACACATGATTTTGCCTTTTTCAGGGAGTTCTTATGTAAAATATTTTATCCCCAACTAGTTGGTATCATTCAAATCAAATTTTATAATTTTACTCTGTATTAGGATGCAGTTTTATAATGTCCAAAGCATCTTTACGCATATTTTTTCTCAAATAAATCCTACAGCAACTGTGTGACATACTCAAAGGTGAGAATATTATCCCCATTTTACAACTGAGCAAGCAGACTTCAAGATTTGTTAACTTTTTAGAGCTGAAGTTTAGTCCACTATTTTATGTTATCAACCTTTGATGTGCTGTGCTATACCTACCAATTTAGAAAAGAATTTACCCAAGATTGTAACATATAATACAATTAATTTATTTTTTTTCTCTCCGCTTGAAAACAGAAACAGTGGTGATTATGGAGTATCTACTGATTATTTTGCTGGGACAAGTTGATGTCAATAAATTTATAAATTGAACTGAACTGATAACCTCAGTTACTTTGCCAGAATTCCTTCCTTTAATATTACATAAACTGTAGAATGCAGAAGAGGTACTTTTAATTTCTAATTATTTAAGTAGAGAAAGACTCAACACTTCCTTTTAGGCTCACACATAAAATTTCTGGTTGATACATCACCAGCGATTGTGTTTCAGCATGTATGTAAATGCAGCTTTCTGAATAGGCAAACTTACAGGAAATATGGAATATCATTGTATTTACATACAGCAGTATCTCAGACATCATTCCAAAAACTAAATTACAATGAGGAAATATTTCCAAAAGCCATATTACAGTGCTTTGGGGGAGGTAAAAGAGAGAATGCTGCAATATGTTTTCCTGTTTGACTGACTCAAGCTACATTCTAGGAGATATTTTAAAAAGTGAATAAAATCTCTGTGTCATAGTCAAAAGATGTAAGGCAAACCACAATTATCCAAGGAAATCTGAAATGAATATTACTAAATACAACCTTCTGAATTTGGTTTTACTTACCTAGTATGTTGACTATGTCTGCTTATGGTTTTCTTACTTATGCCTACCTACACCATCTTTTAATTAAATGTGCCAATAAAATTTCTAAGTGCAGAATTTCCTTTGCTTGACACAAACACTTTGTTCTACTGTGAATCAACTGCTGGGGCTTTCTATTGTATGGATGTCTACAAAGGGATGTGCTGTAACTCAAGTATAAGCAGATGGTTCTTTCATTGTTGTAAATCAAATTGGTATAACCTGTGACTGGGTTCGATGTGGCCCCAGTTTCCTGAGGCCTGTGAAAATTGCTAGGTTGCTCATTTTCATTTTTTCTTATCACCTTAACTGGAGTTGGAGGCCCTTGCAAGTCCAGGACAATGACGTCTTAGGCAACCTCAGTTGTCTAGTGTGACTTAATAAGCCTGATGTATGTAGTAGAACCAATCTTTTCTTTTATATATAATGCCATTTTAAGTGATGTGAACCTTATTCTCTAGGTTACAGGTATTGGATTACTTTAGTTCTTTATTATAATAAGCAAGGTGTTAATTTGTTGTTGTTGTGGTTGTTGTTTTTTGAGACAGAGGTTCGCTCTATCGCCCAGGCTGGAGTGCAGTGGCGTGATCTTGGCTCACTGCAAGCTCCACCTCCCGGGTTCACGCCATTCTCCTGCCTCAACCTCCTGAGTAGCTGGGATTACAGGCACCTGCCACCATGCCCGGCTAATTTTTTGTATTTTCAGTGCAGACAGGGTTTCACCCTGTTAGCCAGGATGATCTCGATCTACTGATCTCATGATCCGCCCGCCTCAGCCTCCCAAAGTGCTGGGATTATAGGCGTGAGCCACCGCGCCCTACCCGCTAATTTGATTTAACTCCTAAATTCTACCACTTTCCTTACTCGCTTTCTAATGAAAATTGATGGAGAAAATAAACTGAAAATATCACAATTATAAACATTCCACTATTTTGAGATTCTAAAATTATTGGCTTTTGGTGTTCACTGATTCATGTCGGATTTTTAGTAGCATAATCAAACCTTTTTTTGGCAATGGTATAGAGTGCAAAATGCAAAGCCATTTGCCATGGTGTAGATGCTCACAGTATGCCCCTGCATCTAAAGAGATACTATTCTCCAACATAAATCAGACATATAGAAAATACTTACAGCACAGAAAATATGAACTATGGCATACAAATACATTAAATTAGCTAAATGACATCCCTAATAAAAATCTGAATCTGGCCGGGCACGGTGGCTCACGCCTGTAATCCCAGCACTTTGGGAGGCCGAGGCAGGCGGATCACCTGAGGTTAGTTCGAGACCAGCCAGGCCAACATGGTCTGCAAAAAAAAATACAGAAATTAGCTGGGCATGGTGGCAGGCACCTGTAATCCCAGCTACTTGGGAGGCTGAGGCAGGAGAGTCACTTGAACCAGGGAGGCAGAGGTTGCAATGAGCTGAGATTGTGCCATTGCACTCCAGCCTGTGCAACAAGAGCAAAACTCCATCTCAAAAAAAAAAAAAAAAAGAATTTATTCTAAAACTGGGAATTTTATGTTTAAGTAGATTCACTTAATTTTTTTCCTATAATCTCCTGGGACAAATAAATGTTTTCAACAGTTGCGCTTAACAAACTGAAGAACTGGAAGAAGAAACAACATTATTAATAATTACTTCCAGAGTGGGGTGTGGCTCACATCTGTAATCCCAGCACTTTGGGAGGCTGAGGTGGGCTCCTCACGAGGTTAAGAGATCGAGACCATCCTGGCTAACACGGTGAAAACCCGCCTCTACTAAAAATACAAAAAATTAGCCTGGAATGGTGGTGGGCGTCTGTCGTGCCAGCTACTTGGGAGTCTGAGGCAAGAGAATCGATTGAGGAAGGCTGGCCAACATGGCTAAACCCCATCTCTACTAAAACTACAAAAATTAGCTGGGCATGTTGGCGCATGTCTGTAATCCTAGCTACTCCCAGAGGCTGAGACAAGAGAATCGCTTGATCCCGGGAGGCGGAAGTTACAGCAAGCCGAGATCACGCCACTCCACTCCAGCCTGCTCTGCAGAACAAGACTCCGTCTCTCAAAAAAAAAAAAAAAAAAAAAAAAAAACTTCCTACGATGCATGATTAGATTACAAAGTTTTCTATTCTTTTCTTTTAAAAATAAATATCTTAGCTGCCTGTTTTCATTCTGGCCATCAAAATTGCCTAAATTCTTTGTGGGCAATAACATCAACCCTTGAGGGAAATTCAAGATATTCCCAACACAGAACTATTCTTAGCTGAAAAGAGTATGGGATGATAATTTTCAACCTGGCATATACAAAAAGAAGAAAAATGTTGGGTAAATGAACAGCAAAAGAAAGATGACATTCATATGTCCTATGCAATTCTGAATACTTATTTTATGTAGGTGAATATTTTAATGAAAGACATTTATTGATTCAAAATATTTTTTAACTTAACGAACTTTGGCAAAACAATGCCCTTCAGTCAGTGACTATATTATCAAGTTTCACCTACCTCTGATTAAGGAAACAAAAATAATAGTAATTCCATACTCAGTATGTGTGAGAAAATAAGAGCTGTGTTTAGTTCTAATTATTTTGAGTTATGCCACATAACACATAACAGTATACATTTATTTTGAATTCATATGTAGAATTAGACTACTTTTTAATTTTGGGAACACGGAGAACAATATTATAGGATTATATTAGTAAGGCTGTGGCAAATACTAACATTAAGCTCTCCTTATGTGACACACACTTCCTTCACCAAAATGGGCAAAATTTTAGCTGAAGACTTCTAATGAAGCCTAGACATTCATGAAGAAATTAAACAACTTGACCATTATTAGAATATAGTAAATACATGCATGTTCAATACCAGCCTCTTTTTTTCTCACTTTATGTTTTTTGAATGCCATTAGATTTACATATCCTGCTAACATAACATAAAAACAAACCTTAAGTTTCAAGAAATTAACAATTCTAGTTACATACTATTTACATGTTTTTCTTATTAACTATTAGTTATTTCAAAACTTACCTTTTATGTTTTGAGATAAAAAATATCTAATAGAGAGGTAGTTTTTTGAGAAGAATGCCTTTTTTATTATTTTTATTTTTATTTCTTTATTTTTTTTTTTTTTTTTGAGACAACATCTTGCTCTGTCACCCAGGCTGGAGTGCACTGGCGTGATGTTGGCTCACTGCAAACTCTGCCTCCCAGGTTCAGGTGATTCTCCTGCTTCATCCTCCTGAGCAGGTGGGATTAGAGTAGCATGCCACCACACCTGGCTAATTTTTGTATTTTTAGTAAACATGGAGTTTTACCATGTTGGCTAGGCTGGTCTTGAACTCCTGACCTCAAGTGATCCATCTTCCTCAGCCTCCTAAAGTACTGGGATTACAGGCATGAGCTACTGCACCTGGCTCTTTTTAAATTATTTTTAAAGGATACTTTAGTTTTCCTAGTAATCCATGTGAATGTATTCTCTATGAACTATAGTGCGTGTGTTTACTTTTTATATATAGAATACTACTGAGGAACAAGCTGTTTCTGTAAATGAAATGGGACTGAACCTCTACCGTGGTTGTGTTCTACATGTTACAGGGACCTGGACAGAGACAGTATGATCATCTCATGAACATCACATAATCTCCTGTCACAGTCCCAAGATAAAACATTTCCTTAAAATCAAGACTTGCTTTAATAACCATCACATTTATTACAATAATACCTTCCCACTATAATCAATATGGATATAAACAGCCTTTGTTCTATTTTTCTCATACTTGGAAGACTTTTGCTTTCATTCCATGAAAATCTTGTATTTCTCCTCAATTATTCTAATTAGAAAAATAGTGCTGGGGGAGAAAAAATAAAACAGCACAGAAAGGAAAGGGGCTCCTGCAATGCACTGTTTAGACAGATAAGGTAGCCAGGCCAGGTGATGGTCAGGTAGGGACTGCCTTCTTCTCTCTGGTGGTGAGAATTGAGAATTGCTGAGAGGTGTGCAAGTGGAGCTGATTGAGCCTGAGCACAGTCCAGCTTTCTTCCATGTTCTCTACATAAAATAATCAATAATCTTCAGCATTAAGACCTCATGATCTCATGTTTTGAGAAGGAGAGTTGAGAAACACCTACTAGTCTTATGATAGGTTGAGTACTTTAAAGAGTTTTGGGCCAGGTGCGGTGACTCACGCCTGTAATCCCAGCACTTTGGGAGGCTGAGGCACGTGGATCACGAGGTCAGGAGATCGAGTCCATCCTGGCCAACACGGTGAAACCGCATCTCTACTAAAAATACAAAAATTTAGCCGAGCATGGTGGCACACACCTGTAATCCCAGCTACTCGGGAGGCTGAGGCAAGAAAATCCCTTGATCTGGGGAGGTGGAAATTGCATGAGCTGAGATTGCACCACTGCACTCCAGCCTGGGTGACAGAGTTAGACTCCATCTCAAAAAAAAAAAAAAAGAATTTTGAAGTTTCTTAATTCCATTTATTTAAGACATTATTCTCATTGGGATTAGGGGGGAATCCCTGAATTTTGGTAAAAATAAATCCAAGTCACAAAATCAGAAAAAAAAAAAAGGGAAGATATAGGATGATGCGTTTCATTCTTCATATGAATATGCATTTTACAAATATATAACTAAGACCAATTTTGGATTTATTTCCAGGCTTGGAGATAACTTATGGAAACTTTTAACATTAAAGTTAAATTTGCAATTCAGAATTAATCCATACATTATTTCACTGTTTTCTTGTTAATATTAAATGCTGCTGACTCAGTAAAGTTTATTATTTGAATATAACAAGAATGTGTGAATTGTAAATGCCATGCTAAAGTCTGGAACATTTCTACAAAATTCAGTTTAGCAAATATTTGTTAAGACTTCAGTCAAAGCCTTTTACAACTGCACTGCTCTAGGTTTTGAGGACTCAAAATAATCTCTGCTCACAAACCAGACATGCAGACGAATAAGGTTCTATGTATTAAGGTCAATAATAGAATTTTGCTGAAGACAAAATATTATCACAGACACAAAAAAATTAGCCAGGCATGGTGGCAGGTGCCTGTAATCCAAGCTACTCAGGAGTCTAAGGAAGGAGAATAGCTTGAACCCAGGAGGCGGAGGTTGCAGTGAGCCAAGATCACATCACTGCACTCATCTTGGGCAACAGAGTGAGACTTCATCTCAAAAAAAAAAAAAAAATCTTGATTCCTTTATCCCCTGTGCTTCACAGCATTCAGAGTCTTCCATATTTTCTGGGAGTTTCTTGGTTAGTTGGGCTTGGCCTCTCCTCACTTACTGTTGGAGCCTGCCCTCTTCTCTGTGCTCCAGAGCAGATCATGTTTTCTCTACTCAGTTCCCTCTAGTGAGGGGACTCATTCCACTTTCACCCCCACCTTAGCACCAAGCACCATTAATTCAAGACCACTATGTGGAGGAGATAAGGGAGAATTACATCCCACAAAGAGCAGCAAAATGCATAAACATGCATATATATACACATATATGCATGTATATGCACATATACACACATATACATATATATGCATATATACATACACACATATATACACGTATACACATATATACACACACACATATATACATGCATATATTGCCACCACTATCCTGAATCTCCTCATTTTTTCCCATCAGAAGGAATTTCTCCACCCCACCCTACCATTTTCTTGGAACTTCTAGTCTCTCTCACATTATTAATTCTACACCTGGGGCTGCCTTGCCCCGTCTTGCTAACTGCCTGGTGGTAACTTGGCACTCCTCTTAGTTACTACTTAATGTTACAGCTCGCCCTTTTTTACATCATATTTATGAAGCATTAAATATTCTAAAAGTGGCCGGGCGCAGTGATTCATGCCTGTAATCTCAGCACTTTGGGAGGCCAAAGCGGGTGGATCACGAGGTCAGGAGTTCAAAACCTCCTGACCAACATGGTGAAACCCTGTTTCTACTACAAATACAAAAATTAGCTGGGCATGATGGCGTGTGTCTGTAATCCCAGCTACTCAAGAGGCTGAGGCAAGATAATCACTTGAACCTGGGAGGCAGAGGTCACAAAAAGCCGAGATTTGTGCCACTGCACTCCAGCCTGGGTGACAGAACAAGACTCTCAAAAAAAAATTAAAAAAAAAACAAGCTACTTTGTCTAGGGTACCCTATTATACCAAGGAATTTAGTGCCTCATGAAAAAAGACTCTCAAAGATGTTTTTCTAAACAATAGAATCTTCTACCTTAGAAATCATTTATGATGTTATCCAACATCATTATTTTTTATTTTATATATATTTTTCACTACAATAAAAATCTTTCAAACATATCAAAATACAATTTTATTAAAACAGAAAAGTTGTTTATTAGATAATCTTTTAATTTTAACATATTAATTTATCTATTGGGGTTCTATGTCATTCATTCAGGAAGAGAATTCAATGAATAAATGTGGTAACTTCACATATCAGTAGAACTTTTTCACAAAAATGGGCAATTTTTCATTTTTCAGAGTGAACACTGAGCCACCACCTGAGGAAAAATAAATGATAATTTTTAACAATTAAAGTTACTATTTTTTTAATCATCTGGTCTTTTAAGATGTTTTTAGACTTATAGATCAAGATAAGAAGTTAGCATGCATTTATCCTTCTTTCAATTTGTATCCATCCCTAATTTATTTCTTCCTATTGTGCAATAGCTCATTATTAAGCTGAACTTCCATTTTACTCATTCATGTTTATTTATGGGTCAGGCAACTGAACTGCATACAAATTCACAAATTTTCTTTTTTTTTTTTTTTTTTTTTTTGAGATGGAATCTTGCTCTGTCGCCCAGGCTGGAGTCAGTGGTGCAGTCTTGGCTCACTGTAAGCTCTGCCTCCAGGGTTCATGCCATTCTCCTGCCTCAGCCTCCTGATTAGCTGGGACTACAGGCACCCACCACCACACCTGGCTAATTTTTTGTGTTTTTAGTAGAGACGGGGTTTCACCATGTTAGACAGGATGGTATGGATCTCCTGACCTCGTGATCTGCCCACCTCAGCCTCCAAAAGTCCTGGGATACAGGCTTGAGCAACCGCGCCCGGCCTACAAATTTTCTTTGTAACTTACCTTATTATTAAATTGGTCTTCCTAATTCTTATTTTTTTATTTTTTATTTTTATTTATTTTTTATTTATTTTTTTGAGACGGAGTCTTGCTCTGTTGCCCAGGCTAGAGTGCAGTGGTGCAATCTCAGCTCACAGCAACCTCCTCCACCTCCCGGGTTAAAGCCACTCTCCTACCTCAGCCTCCAGAGTAGCTGGGATTACAGGCATGCACCACCACGCCCGGCTAATTTTGTATTTTTGGTAGAGACAGGGTTTCTCCATGTTGGTCAGGCTGGTCTCAAACTCCCAACCTCAGGCGGTCTGCCTGCCTTGGCCTCCCAAAGTGTTGGAATTACAGGTGTGAGCCACCGCACCCAGCCTGGTCTTTTAAAATTTGACCTAAACAGTTCATCCTGTCATGTTCTTCATGAGAGATGAAGGTCCACTATTTTTCCCTTGTTATTTTAATAAAAACCACTATTTACCTTGAATATACTGAATATACACAAAATACATATTCACTTACACACCATGGCTTTTTAAAAGGGTTGTCCTTAGATGTGGCCTCCAGGGATAGTTAAGCTGTAAATGGAAGGCTTCATATGTAAAGACATTTTCCTTTTGACCTTGTTTCTTATAGTGAGTGTGTGTGTGTGTCTGCTTTTAGTGGTAGAAGTTAAGGGGAATCTCTATGATTGTTTTTCTTTCTCTCCATTTATCCTTCACTTTCTTTCTTGTTTTTTTTTTTTTTTTTTGAAACAGAGTCTTCCTTTGTCAGTGCAGTGGTGTGATCTCGACTCACTACGACCTCTCCCTCCTGGGTTCAAGTGATTCTCATGCTCAGCCTCTCAGGTAGCTGGGATTACAGGCACCCACCACCATGCCCAGCTAATTTTTGTATTTTTAATAGAGACGGGGTTTCGCCATGTTGCCCAGGCTGGTCTCAAACTCCTGAGCTCAGGCAATCCGCCCACGTCGGCCTCCCAAAGTGCTGAGATTACAGGCATCAGCCACCATGCCCGGCCCCATTTATCCCTCATTTTAATATTTTTTAATTTTTTTTTTCTTTTTTTTGAGATGGAGTCTTGCTCTGTCACCCAGGCTGGAGTGCAGTGGCGGGATTTTGGCTCACTGCAACTTCAGCCTCTCAGGTTCAAGCAATTCTCCTGCCTCAGCCTCCCAAGTAGCTGGGACTACAGGTGCCCGCCACCATGCCCGGCTAATTATTGTATGTTTAGTAGAGATGGAGTTTCACCATGTTAGCCAGGATGGTCTCAGTCTCCTGACCTCATGATCCACCTGCGTCAGCCGCCCAAAGTGCTGGGATTACAGGCATGAGCCACCTCGCCTGGACTATCCCTCACTTTATAACGTTAATCAAGTTCTTTTATAATTTTATGTTAAAGATTTTTGAATTTTGTTAATCTATTTTATTTTCCTTCATAAAATGATCAAAGCTAGAAATAACATTACAAAGTATATCATAATCGTTAATAGAAAGAGCTCTATAATCAGCTTAAATTTCTTTTCTCTCTTTTCCAGTTATGTGATCTTAGGCAAGTTACATAAATTACCTGTGTTCAGTTTATTTATTTGTGAAATGGGGAAAATAATGGTGCCTGTCTCTGGGTAAGATTGTAGTGAGGGTGAATAACAGATTTATCAAGCATAAAGCAGTGCCTGGGACACAGGAATTGCCCTCTCTGCATGCCCCTGCATATGTGTGCATACAGGCATGAATCACTTGATGATGGAATAAATTTGGAGAAATATGTCTTTAGGCAGTTTTGTTATTGTGCAAATATCTCAGAGTGTACTTACACAAACATAGATAGGATAGCCTACTACTCTGCTAGAGTATATGATAGAGTATATGTAGCCTGTTGCTCCTAGGCTACAAATCTGTACAGCATGTTACTGTACTAAATACTGCAGGCAACTGTAACACAGTGGTAGGTATTTTGCATCTTATCATAGAAAAGGTGCAGTAAAAAAAAAAAGGTACACTTGTAGAGGGCACTTACCATGAATGGAGCTTGCACAGCTGGAAGTTGCTCTGGGTAAGTGAGTGAGAGGTGAGTGAATATGAAGGCCTAGGACATTACGGGCACTGTTGTGGACTTTAGCAGTACTGGATGTACACTTAAGCTATGCCAAATTTATTTTTAAATTGTTTTCTTTTATCAATAATAAATTAGCTTTAGCTTACTGTAATTTTTTTATTTAATATACTTTTTTTAACCTTTTGGCTCCTTTGTCACAACTCTTAGCTTAAAAGATAAACATATTGTACAACTTTAAAAAAATATTATTTTCTTTATATCTAAGTCTATAAGCTTTTTCCAATTTTTAATTTTTGTGTTACTTTTTAACTCTTTTATAAAAACAAACACAAACACGCACATTAGTTTAGGCCTATACAGGGTCGGGATCATCAACATCATTGTCTTCCACCTTCATATTCTGTCTCAGTGGAAGTTTCTTGGGGCAATAACACACATGAAGCTGACATCTCCTATGATAACAATCCCTCCTTCTGGATACCTCCTGAAGGACCTGCCTGAAATTGCTCTACTGTTCAGTTTTCTTTTTCTTTTTTAGTAAGTAGTACCCTCTCAAAACATGATAAAAAGGGCCAGGCATGGTGGCTCATACCTGTAATGCAAGCAATTTGGGAGGCTGAGGCGGGAGGATCACTTGAGGGCAGCAGTTCAAGAGCAGCCTGGCCAACATGGTGAAACCCTGTTTCTACTAAAAATACAAAAATTAGGCATGTGCAGTTGTGGGCACCTGTAGTCCCAGTTACTTGGGAGGCTGAGGCAGAAAAATCACTTGAAACTGGGAGGTGGAGGTTGCAGTGAGCCGATATCACACCATTGCGACTCCAGCCTGGGCAACAGAGGGAGACTCCATCTCAAAAATAAAAATAAAAATAAAAAGAATAGAGTAGTAAATATATAAACCAGTAATATTGTCACTTATTATCATTATCAGGTATTATGTTCTGTAAGTAATTATATGTTCTAGAAGCCTGGCAACACAATAGGTCTGTTTTCACCAGCATCAGCACAGACATGTGAGTAATGAATTGTGCAATGATATTACATTGACAATGACATCACTAGGAAACAGGAATTTTTCAGCTCCATTACAATCCTACAGGACCAATATGTGGTCCACCATTTACTGAAATGTATTTACATGGTGCATGACTGTAAAATTACTAGTCTTCAAAAATCAGTTGTATTTTCAACATTTCCTACCTCTGCAAAATGCATCACCATTCTCCCAGTTACCCAGGCTTAAAACCTCAGAATTCTATCAAATTATTTCATTTCCTTACATCTCATGTTTAATTAGTCACTGATTCCCATCAATTTTCCCCTATCATGTTTAATAGTACCAACACATTATTTCTCTTAGAAAAACATTTTTCTAGTTTAAGCTCTTAATTTAGCCTATTTTTAAAATATCTCAAAGTTTTCCATACAGTCTTTATTTCTTATTTCTTAAAATATTTTCTACATTTTGATACAACTAACCTTCCTAAGGCATAAATATCTCACTTTGTCACTTGTATGCCCCCAAAAAAACATAAAAATATCTTCTTGGTCTAGAAAGTAAAATTATAATGCTTGGCATAATGTAGACAGAAATTCCCATTTATCCTTTTTCTCCTTTGCCCCCACACTTTTCTTCCATGTTCACATCAGTACCTAATGTCCCAGACATATGGAATTCATTGTTTCATGAATAAAGCCAACACATTCTAACTACCATGCATTTAGTCAAACCATCTGGCCACCTGGAATTTCCTACTATCCCCCATAAAATTTAAATTAAAAAATTCCACTGTTCTGTCCTCTCTGAAGATGTCCCTGAACATTTATTGAAACTCATTGACATATCCTTTGGTTCCCGCAGACTTTATTGTATATGTCATAATTTAGCACCTACATTACTCTGCCGTACATTTTAGTAAGTTAATGACCTGTCTCTTTTCACTGATAAAACAGCGTCAGGATTTTTTCATTTTTGTATTCCCTACTGGTTCACAGAGTGCTATGAACATATAATTTGCTAAGTTAATTTTAAATTGACTTAAACTTACTGGTGAATTCACCGATTAACTGTTCTTTTCCAGTATTACTCTTAGAAATGTCCTTCCCTTGATATATTTTATGTTCTAAAAAATTAATTTCATTTTAAGAATCACATCCTCCAAAACAAAAGAAACAAAAGCTCCCATACAATTCTAATGCTAGTTATAGGTAACATTAAAAAATGGCATACCAACTGTAAAAATCAAAAACAAAAAAACAAACAAAAACAAACAAACAAACAAAACAATTCCCATGAAAGCCAGAGGCAAACAATGCAAATTTTAATGTTAATATTGTCATTTTTTCCTAGGTTAGGGGACAATATAACCACATTTATAAACTTGTTCTTTTTGTCACTCCTCATGTTGACCTCACACATAGCATATTATGCCATTAAAACAACAAAAAAAGGAGAAAATGCTACATTGAAATCCAGTATTGTCTTACAACAATTCCTTACTGTGAATTGTGAATGAAAATTAAATTCTTTAATCACTAGGAAAGACTCTGAGTGTGAGAGTGTTTCTTTCAGCTGATATAAACATTGATAAGATCAAAGCTTGCTCTAAATTATCTGTCTTACCAGGTCTTGACTGAATCTCAGAACAAAATCCTGTAGTTTCTCTTTATTTCAGATAAACCTTTGATATTTTAAAAATATAGGCACAGCTGGGCACAGTGGCTCAGTCCTGTAATCTCAGCAGTTTGGGAGGCCGAGGTGGGCAGATAATGAAGTCTAGATATCGAGACTATCCTGGCCAACATGGTGAAACTCTGTCTCTACTAAAAATACAAAAATTAGCTGGGCGTGGTGGTGCACACTTTTAGTCCCAGCTACTCAGGAGGCTGAGGCAGGAGAATCGCTTGAACCTGGGGGGCTGAGGTTGCAGTGAGATGAGAACGTGCCATTGCACTCCAGCCTGGGTGACCAAGTGAAATTCCATCTCAAAAATAAGAAGATAAATAGGCACATCTGGCTAAGGAAATGGCAAAAAGGCAAAAAGATATGCACAAAAAAAGTTAGCCACTACTTGCATTGAAAATGGGTTCAAGTTTAAGGTTTTGGCAACTGTTTGAGAAAAATATGAATTAAGCTCATTTTCTGTGGAGACAAGTCTCTAGGCGTTTAGTTTTGGTTAAGTTAAATACTTAAATCTATTTAAAATTTTAAAGACCTTAGTAATGTAAACAAATGGTGTTGAGTTTGGACTTCTCTACAATATCTATGTGGGATCTTAGGAAAGGAAGAGTGAAAGGATACAATATATTTTAAATGATAGTTCAGCCTAAATCCTAAGCATAAGCATAATACACTGCTGCATTTTTTTTTGTGACAGATCCTAACTCTGTCCCCCAGACTGAAGTGCAGTGGTGTCATCTTGACTCACTGCAACCCCAGTCTCCTAGATTCAAGCTATTCTCCTGCCTCAGCCTCCCAAGTATCTGGGATCACAGACAGACACCAGTCACACCCAGCTTGCTTTTTGTTTTTATGTTTTTTTCTTTTTTTGGAGACAGAGTCTTGCTCTGTCACCCAGGCTGGAATACAATGGCACAACCTCGGCTCACTGCAACCTCCACTTCCCAGGTTCAAGCAATTCTTCTGCCTCAGCCTCCTTAGTAGTTGGGATTACAGGCACGTGCCACCATGCCCGGCTATCTGCCTCCCAGGTTCAAGCGATTCTTCTGCCTCAGCCTCTTGAGTAGCTGGGATTACAGGCATGTGCCACCATGCCTGGCTAATTTTTGTATTTTCAGTAGAGACAGGGTTTCACCATGTTGGTCAGGCCGGTCTCGAACTCCTGACCTCCTGATCCACCTGCCTCAGCCTCCCAAAGTGCTGGAATAATAGGCGTGAGCCACCATGCCCAGCCCATTTTTTGTACTTTTAATAGAAGTGAGGTTTCACCATGTTGATCAGGCTGATCTCAAACTCCTGACCTCAAGTGATCTGCCCACCTCCACCTGCCAAAATGCTGGGATTACAGACAAGAGCCACTATGCCTAGCCAATATGTTACTTTTAAAAAATAAGTTATTCATTTTAGTTTTCTTCTGTTGCTAACGATCATTTCTATTTTGTAGGGAAAAGGAAGAGGGATCAGACTGTTACTGTGTCTATGTAGAAAGGGAAGACATAATAAATTCCATTTTGACCTGTACTTTGAACAATTGCTTTGTCCTGAGATTCTGTTAATCTGTAACTTTGCCCCAATCACTTTGCCCCAACCTCTGCCCCAACCTTGAGCTCACAAAAACATGTGTTGTATGGAATCAAGGTTTAAGGGATCTAGGGCTATGCCTTGTTAACAAAATGTTTACAAGCAGTATGCTTGGTAAAAGTCATTGCCATTCTCTAGTCTCGATAAACCAAGGGCACAATGCACTGCGGAAAATGGCAGGGACCTCTGCCCTGGAAAGCCGGGTATTGTCCAAGGTTTCTCCCCATGTGATAGTCTGAAATATGCCTCATGGGATGAGAAAGACCTGATCATCCCCCAGCCCAACACCCATAAACGGTCTGTGCTGAGGTGGATTAGTAAAAGAGGAAAGCCCTTGCAGTTGAGATAGAGGAAGGCCACTGTCTCCTGCCTGCTCCTGGGAATGGACTGTCTCGGTATAAAACCTGATTTTACCTTTGTTCAATTCTGAGATAGGAGAAAAACCACCCTATGGTGGGAGGCAAGACACGTTGGCAGCAATGCTGCTTTATTGTTCTTTACTCCACTGAGATATTTGGGCAGAGAGAAACATAAATCTGGCCTACGTGCACATTCAGGCATAGTACCTCCCCTTGAACTTAATTATGACACAGATTCTTCTGCTCACCTTTTTTTGCTGACCTTCTCCCTATTATCACCCTGCTCTCCTACCACATTCCTCTTGCTGAGATAATGAAAATAATAATCAATAAAAACTGAGGGAACTCAGAGGCCGGTGCCGGTGCAGGTGCTTGGTATGCTGAGCACTGGTCCCCTGGACCCACTTTTCTTTCTCTATACTTTGACTCTGTGTCTTATTTCTTTTCTCAGTCTCTCATCCCACCTGACTAGAAGTACCCACAGGTGTGGAGGGGCTGGCCACCCCTTCATATTTTCACTTAATTTACTCTGAATCTATGCCACTTTTGCATTTGAGGCTAATGTTTGTATTGAAGGAAAGGATAGCAAGTCAATTTACAATTGGATTTTTTCAATGTATAGAGTTACATGTTTACTAAAAGGAGTAGCCCTTAATTGTTTTTAAAAAGCCCATAGCAAGCAAGATGATTAACAATTTTTATATGAACAAATGTCTTACAATATTTTAAACATCTAGAGAACACTGATACGGTCTTCACTTACTGACAATGGCATATTATCAATTCACTTTTCCAAAGAGACAGAAGTTACTTCTTTTGACTTAGATCTGACTTCTTAAACTGTCAAATGAAGTAGCTGAGTATAACTCACCACCTACAACTTTGATATTTAGCCTCCTCTCTTCATTTGCTTTGTATTATGTTCTGTAGCCCTTACTTTAATATTTCTATATCTTACACATCTTTCTCTCTTTAAAATGTGCTTTCATTTAGATGAGAAATACAATTTTAAGGGAGAAGTTGACTCATGCCTAGTTCTGTATTTTTTTTTAATTGCTGATCTGTCCTGAGGAAATTAATGTCACCCTACTGGGTATGATGCTGTCCCTCTGGAGAGATTCCTGCAAGTTATGACCACTGGGGATTTTATAGGTGTCCACATTAAGCCTTTCACTAAGAGTAGAGATTAACTTGCAGTTGCCTCTCTGACACAAATATATCTAAGAAATCAACATAATCTTTCAAAACCCTTCCAGCTAATACTAGTTTGTAGCCACTATTAATATAGTGGTTTTAAGTTTGTT
Organism: Homo sapiens; assembly: GCF_000001405.40. Classification (NCBI taxonomy): domain Eukaryota; kingdom Metazoa; phylum Chordata; class Mammalia; order Primates; family Hominidae; genus Homo; species Homo sapiens. The sequence continues at coordinate 15,342,952 of NC_000018.10, read as the reverse complement.
CCAGGGTCTCAAAGCCTCAAATCATTTCATGATTATACTGTTATAACTCAGTAGCTGAGTTATACTCAGCTACTTCATTTGACAGTTTAAGAAGTCAGATGTAAGTCAAAAGAAGTAACTTCTATCTCTTTGGAAAAGTGAATTGATAATATGCCATTGTCAATAAGTGAAGATGGTATCAGTGTTCTCTAGATGTTTAAATGTCTAGATGCAAATGTCAACATATAATGCTTACAAGGACATAACTTGGTGTTTCACACTATTATTTTAGTTTTAACCCACTTGATCCATCAAGTTATCTGTCATAGAACAAATGAAAGGCCCCTTTAGAGAAGTCTCAGAATAAAAAATAGGCCTAGTTATGTTCGTTGGGAGAGAAGTAAATAAAGCATGGGTTTACATTTTCTGTCTATAAGAAATTGTCATTGTAGCTGTTGTTTGTTTCAAAATCTATGTACAGTTCTGACCCACCAACTGACAATGGCTGCCTGACTCTAACAATCTGGTGTGTTATTGTAAATTCCCTGAGTCTTCTTTATAGCAAGAGAAAAAATCAGGACATTCTGAAAGTAATACACTGTGGATATTTATATGGCCAGAGTATAATTTTCTCTGCTTAATAATAAAACAATAATGAGCTTAATAATAAAACTCACATACAAATACAAAATAAACCTGTGTCAAAATTTATTTCACTTATTCCTGAGGAAATCAGTAGGTGGGAAAGCTGGTTCCAAGAACAAGTAAAAAAAAAAAATTACAGATTTTCTTTCCCCCAAAACAAGAAATGTTAGAATAAGACAACTATGTTAGAAGCAAAACTGGGCTGGGAGCGCTGGCCCACACCTGTAATCCCAGCACTTTGGGAAGCCAAGGTGGGTGGATCAGGAGGTCAGAAAATCGAGACCATCCTGACTAACATGGTGAAATCCGGTCTCTACTAAAAATACAAAACCAAAATTAGCCGGGCATGGTGGCCTGTAGTCCCAGCTCCTCAGTATGCTGAGGTAGGAGAATGGCATGAACCCAGGTGGTGGAGCTTGCAGTGATCCCAGATTGCGCCACTGCACTCCAGCCTGGGCAACAGAGTGAAACTCCGCCTCGAAAAAAAAAAAAAAAAGAAGCAAAATTGATTAATAACAACAAATAGTACTGGGTAAACTGGATATCCACAGGCAAAATATAAAGTTTGGGCCCTTAACTTACATGATATACAAAAATAAGCTAAAATAGATCAAAGACTTAAAAGTAACAACTACAACCCTTAAACTCTTAGAAAAAAAAAACGTAGGAGAAAATATTCTTTATGTTAGATTTAACAATGATTTCTTAGATATGATATCAAAGGTACAGGGAATAAAAAAAAACAAAAAAAATAGTTTCATCAAAAGTAAAAGTTCTGTGCATTAAAAGTCACCATTGACCAGGTGTGGTGGCTCACGCCTGTAATCCCAGCACTTTGGGAGGCTGAGGCAGGTGGATCACAAGGTCAGGAATTTGAGACCAGCCTGGCCAATATGGTGAATCCCCATTTCCACTAAAAATACAAAAATTAGCTGGGCATGCTGGTGTGCACCTGTAATCCCAGCTTCTTGGGAGGCTGAGGCAAAAGAATCACTTGAACCTGGGAGGCAGAGGTTGCAGTGAGCTGAGATTGTGCCACTGCACTCCAGCCTGGGCGACAGAGGGAGACTCCATCTCAAAAAAAAAAAAGTCACCCTCAAGACAGTGGAACAACAACTCAAAGAATGGGAGAAGATGTCTGCAAATCACATATGTGATATGACATCAGTATATGTGGATATAATATGTATAATAGAATAAAGAACTCCAGCAACTCAACAATAATAAATGGTTCAATTTGTTAAATAGGCAAAGGACTTGAATAGATAATTATCTAAAGAAGATATACGAATGGCCAACAAGCACATGAAAAGAGGCTCAATATCACTAGCATTAGAAAAACACAAATGAAAGTAATGATGAGATATCATTTCACACCCATTAGGATGATTACAAAAAAGAAACTCCAGAAAATAACAAGGGTTAGTGAGGATTCAGAGTCAATGGGAACCCTTGTGCATTGCTGGTGGGAATGTAAAATGGTGTAGCTTCTGTGGACAACAGTTAGGTGGCTCCTCAAAGGTTAAACATAGAACTACTATATGATCCAGCAATTCTATGCCTATATACATGCCCAAAGTAATTGCAAATAGAGACTCCAACAGATATTAACCACCAATGTTCACAGTACCATGATTTACAGTAACCAAAAGCAGGAAGCAACTCAAAGGTTCATCAATAAATGAATGAATAAACAAAATACACCATATTCACATAATGGAAATTTATTCAGCCTTATTAGGGAATGAAATTCTAATATACACTACAGAACTTCAATGACTACAACATACATAAACTTTGAAAACATTATGCTTAGTGAAATAAGCCAGATGCAAAAGGATAAATATTGCTTCAAGTACTTAGAATAAGCAAATCATAGAGAAAGAATAATCATTACCAGGGACTAGTGTGGGTGAGAAGTTATTGTTTAATGGGTACAGAGCTTCTATATGGGATGATTAAAGAGTTCTGGAAATGGACGGTGGTAAAGGTTGTGCAATTTGGTGAATGTAATGTCCTCTGAACTGTTCATTTAAAATTCATTAAAGTGATAAATTTTACAGTATGTGTATTTTACCACAATTTAAAGAAGAAAATTAAAAGAAAAAAAATGTATTCCCAATTGCACTGTATTTTTTGTTATTAAGCATAAAATTTAAACTTTATTAAACTTATTAGAAAAAGGGAATTGGAAATGTGATATAATGAAGCAATTCACAAAAATGTGTACAGTAAATGCACTCAAGAGCAGTTTTTCTGATGTTTGATGAACTCCTATCAGTTGTGAATTAAAACTGATTAATATCCTTCATGGAAACAGATCCATAAGGTCTGGCATTGTCTTTTTCTACTAGAGAGAAACCTAGAAGTTATCACATAATTGCATAGCATCTAGGATCAAATCAACTAATACATGGCCAAGTCAAAAGAAAATGAAGTAATCTTTGGGTTGGCCTTTGAGATGATAGCTTTTAATAATGTAATATTACACTAAAAATACATGTTTTATGTCAGAGTTTTAGATACTTTTCCTTAGCAGTCCCCTATCACAAATATGTCCTCTGTTAGTGCTAATCCATAACTAACTCAGTTCCTTATTTTCATGTCAGTAATCTCCAAGTGTTATTCTTTTTTTTTTTTTTTTTTTTGAGACAGAGTCTGGCTCTGTCTCTCAGGCTGGAGTACAGTGGTATGATCTCGGCTCACTGCAGGCTCCGCCTCCGAGTTCACGCCATTCTCCTGCCTCAGCCTCCCGAGTAGCTGGGACTACAGGCGCCCACCACCACGCCCGGCTAATTTTTTGTATTTTTAGTAGAGACGGGGTTTCACCGTGTTAGCCAGGATGGTCTCGATCTCCTCACCACGTGATCCGCCCACCTCAGCCTCCCAAAGTGCTGGGATTACAGGCGTGAGCCACCGGCTCGGCCTCCAAGTGTTATTCTTAATCAAAAAAAGAAAAAGTTTATCTGACTATATTAGACCCTGATTATTTATGTAGCTTCAGAAAGAGGAGTTAAACACATAGGTGAAGTCTTCCCTCCACCGGGTTCTAAAATGTAAGATTCATGGCCTTCTGAAAACACTCCCTTACCAATGTGAGGCTGGAACCATAGAACAGGTGGAGGACTTAGTAGGTATTGGCTCAACATTTAAAGTACAATCTTTTTCCTTAATAGGTATTTTCATACCTTATAAACACATGTATGACCTTGGATGTCCAATTAAATCCCAGGAAAAAAGGACAGATTCTTGATGAAACTATGCAAATAATGAGACAACAAGTAAAAAGGGCTCCCCAGCAGAACTTCCGACCAGCTTGCACACTGGCAGGAGTGCACACTGAGGTGGAGCCTGGGGAAGTTTGCAGCGGGGAGGAGCCTGGCCTCTTCTGTTCCAGGACGGAGGCTGGGATTCAATCTATGAGGCAGGAAGCTGGGTAGCAGGACTCACTTTACTGAGAGTCTCTGTTTCTCCTTTTCTCCCTTTTGCCCAATAAATTCCATTTTTCTTACCCTTCGAAGCGTCGGTGAGCCTAATATTTCATGGCTGTGTGACAAGAACGCAGCTTTTAGCTGAACTAAGGAGAAATTCCTACAATAATAATATGTTGTCTTACAAGCATGGAGAGTCAGTACAAATATATTTTTCTGAATTCTCAGAGAAAAATAGAAATTAGACAGCGTTTGAAGGATGTATTTCACTTACAAGCTGTAGTACATAAAATTGAGGATCAGAGCTAGAAAAAGAAACTGTGTAATTAATACTCCTTCTACTGGATGTTGAGTCAGTTTTTTGCTTTGATAAAATTATCTACCAATGAGGCAAAAAATAAATCCTTAAAACAATGAGATTTAAAAGTAAGTTGTTATGCTCAGTACTTTATAGGAGAACATTCAAGTAAGTGTCAGAGGAAAACAAAAACCACCTAGAGAAGCAACTAAATGGCTGTTTAATTTATATAGTAAACAATAATATAAAAATGGAGAAGAATAAAATTCTGCATTAGGTTCAATACTATCTCATAAAGACTTGACCAATGTTTCACCTGGGGGCATATACCTCTCCAATTTCCTATTACAGTCTCTAATCTGTGAGTTAAATGTCTACAGTTCCTAAACAATTCACCTGTTTTTTTTTTTTTTTTTTGGACAGAGTATCCCTGTGTCACCAGGCTGGAGTGCAGTGGTGCGATTTTGGCTCACTGCAACCTCTGCCTCCTGGGTTCAAGTGATTCTCCTGCCTCAGCCTCCTGAATAGATGAGACTACAGGCATGCACCACGACACCCAGCTAGTTTTTGTATTTTTAGTAGAGATGGGGTTTCACCATGGTGGCCATGATGGTCTTGATCTCTTGACCTCCTGATGTGCCCACCTCAGCCTCCCAAAGTGCTGGGATTACAGGCGTGGGCCACCGCACCCCACCACCATTCATCTTAATATGTAAGATTATGTAAAATGAACTGAGAAGGCTGAGTCTTTTAGAATTGACCTCATGCAACTCACACAGATGTGTGGAACTAATGAAGAAATATGGGGCATACCAAAGAAGCCCAATTTATTTTAGCCTTATCCATTTTATAAGGCAAAAATTGTCACAGTTTTTCTAGAGGTCACCTAGGAAATCTAAAAAATTCTTATTTTTCCCTAAAAATCAGAAAATATTTACTTTTTGGAATTTAAGATATAATTTCAGATGGGCAAAAATTAAGTGTTATCAGAGGAGATTTGGTCACTGTGATAAAGATAGGAATACAGGTACAGAGAAGAAAATGGTGGCAATAATCCCAATGACAATACAATATTCTAAAATAAGCATAGAAAAAGATATCATAATTGTTAGAAAATGTATCCGTTTCATAATTAATTATGCTGTACAAATGTTTTTTTCTTATTTTTCTTTCTAGCTTCATTGAAGTATGATTGATAAATAAAAATTGTACATATTTAAGTTATATAATATGATGTGATGTATGTATACATTGTGAAGTAATAGCCGCAGTCAATTAACATTTTCATCAACTTACAAAGTTACACTTTCTCTGTGTGTGTCTATGTGTGCTTGTATGGAAATACATAAGACCTACCCTGTTAGCAAAATTCAGGTATACAATACATTCTTATCAGCTGTAGCTACTATGCTATATATGTTAGGTATCCAGAATTTATTCATCTTTTAACTAAAAGCATCTCCCCATTTTTCCTACCTTCTAATCCCTAGCATCTAATGAGTTTAAATTTTTTAGATTTCACAGATAAATGAGATTATGCAGTATATTTGTCTTTCTGTGTCTGGCTTATTTTACTTAGCATTATGTTCTCTCAGTCCATCAATGCTATCACAAATTTTAGGATTTCTTTCTTTTGTAAGGATGAATAATATTCCATTGTATGTATATGCCACATTTTCTTTATCCACTAATCTGTAATAAAGGCTATTATCCAAAATACACAAGAAACACTTCAAATTTCACAAGAAAGCAAACAATTCAGTTAAAAATGGGGAAACAATATAAATGGATAAGTCACCAAAGGAAATATAAAAATGGCAAATAAGTATTTGAAAATATATTCAACAACATATGACTTTAGGGGGATAAAGCAATTCTATATATTGAAATTTCCTTTAACAAAGAAAGCAAATAGAAAACTTTCTCAGAAAAACAAAATTTTAGTGATACATCATCAGCTGACCTGTCTTGCAAAAAATACTAAAAGAAGTTCTTCAAGTGGAGAGAAAATGATGCAAGTGAGAAATTCAGATACACAATAAAGAAGTAATAAATGAAAAAGAATAAATTAAAGTTAAAAATTTTTTTATTCTTATTGATCCATAAGATAACTGTTTAGTCACAAAAAATGGGTAATTATAGAATGTGGACAGATGAAATTAACAATAGCAATGTCATAAGGTACAGGAGGTACAATCTGGTAGTATTTTTATGGGATACCTACACTACGTGTGAAGTAACAATTTTATTTGAAGATAGATATAAAATGTATATAATCAATTCTAATTAATTTAAAGATAGACTTAAAATGCATATAATCAATCCTAAGAAAAACACCGCAAATTTTTAAAAGAAGTGATGAGATCACATCTCATGAGGTGATGAGATACACCAAGAGCTGAGACAAAAATGCAATCATAGAAGATGCTCAATTAAAATAAGAGAAGGCAGGCCAGGCACAGTGGCTCCTGCCAGTAATTCCAGCACTTTGGGATGCCAAGGTGGGTGGACCACCTGAGGCTAGCCCGACCAACATGATGAAACACCGTCTCTATTAAAAATACAAAAGTTAGCCTGGTGTTGTGGCACACATCTGTAATCCCAGCTACTCTGGGCTGAGGTGGGAGGATCACTTTAACCTGAGATGTGGAGGTTGCAGTGTGCCAAGACTACCACTGCACTCCAGCCTGGGTGACAGAGTGAGGCTCTATCTCAAAATAAAATAAAATAAAATAAAATAAAATAAAATAAAATAAAATTAAAAATAAATGAATATAATTAATGTTTATATTCTACTTCAACAAAAGTAGAATACACATTCTTCTCTAGTTTGTACAAGACACACTGCATTATGGGCCATAAATGTCTTAAAATTTTTCAAAGAATAAAGTTCATACAAAGTACACACTCAGACCACAATAAAAATTAAAGTAGAAATAAATAGCAGGAAGAATTGAAAAATTTTTCAAATATTTGAAGACTTAACAAAACATCTAAATGCATCCCAAAAGAAGACTAAACAGTAATTAAAATATTTGGAATTAAATGAAAATGAAATCACAACTTATTAAAATATATGAGATACAGTAGAACTAGTACCTAAATTTATAGCATTAAATGCATATTATTATGAAAAAAGAGATAAAATCAATAACCTAAGCTTCTGCCTTAAGAAACTAGAAAAAGAAAATCCAAAGTAAATAACAAGGGAAAAAATATATAAAGTTTAGCAGATATCAGTAAAATAGAAAACAGGAAAACAATAGAGAAAATCAATGAAACAGAAAGCTGTTTCTTTGAAAAGATCTATAAGCTTGCTAACATTTAGACAAACTAATAAAGAAAAAAAGAATGCACAACTTACAAATATTGGAAGTGAAACAGGGGTATGGTTTATGACTACTGATTTTGTGGACATTAAAAGGATGATATATTTACTATATTAAAAACTCTATACTCACAAGTTCAATAACCTATATAAAATGGACAAATACCTTGAAAGACACAATATGCCAATACTCACAAAAGAAAAAATAGATAACATGAGTACTCTTATATCTATAAAAGGAATTGAATAAATAGTTAATAACCCGCCCACCCCTCCAATGGTTCCAGGCCCAAATGACTTTAGTGGTGAATTCTATCAAGCATTTAATGGCAAAATTATACCAATTTTCCACAGACTTTTCAAGAAAATGGAATTAGAGAGAACACTTCCTAATTCATTCTATGAGGTAAATATTACCCTCTTACCAAATCCAATAGACATAAAATTAAATAAAATAAATATATCAATATCTCTCATGAACAAAGATTCAATAATACTTCACAAAATACTAGACAACTGAATCTAACTATGTATTTATTTTAGGTAAGACAGTATGCAAGACTGATTCAATATTAGAAAATTATCTGCAGAATTTCCTAAATCAACAGGTTAAGGAAGAAAAATCATGTGACTGTATCAATTGATGTAGAAAAAGCTTATGGCAAAATCTATCACCCATCTATAATTTGAGAAACTCTCAGAAAACTAGGAATTGAGGTGAATTTTCATAACTTGACAAAGAACATCTAGAAAACCCCTAAAACTATCATACTTAATGATGAGAAATGGGATGCTTTTTCCCAAAAACCAGGAGCAAGAAGAATTTTGTTTTTTGTTTTTTTTCTTTCACCACCTGCAAAATGAAACCACCACTTTGGAAGACAGATGGGCAATTTCTTATGCCCATAGTTGCTATACTATATGAAAAAAAAAAGTCTTACATGTAATATAGCAATTGTGTTTTTTTTTTGTTTGTTTTGAGATAGAGTCTTGCTCTGTCACCCAGGCTGGAGTGCAGTGGTGCAATAGAAGGATACTGCAACCTCCACCTCCTGGGTTCAAACAATTCTCCTGCCTCGCCTCCAGAGTAGCTGGGACTACAGGCACCTACCACCATGCCCGGCTAATTTTTTTTTTTTTTTTTTTTTTTTTTTTGTATTTTACTAGAGACAGTATAACCTGTTGATGTGGGAAATTTTACCACGTGGCCCAGGCTGTTGTCCAACTCCTGAGCTCAGGCAATGCGACAGCCTCGGCCTCCCAAAGTGCTAGGATTACAGGTGTGAGCCACCGTGCCTGGCTGCAAATGTGTTTTTAGGTGTTTATCCACCTTATTTGAAAACTATATCCACACCAAAACTGACGCATGAATATATATATAGCAGCTTTGTTTATAATTCCCGAAACTGGAAGAAACCAAGAGGTCTCATAATTGATGAATGGAAAAAAAAAACTGTGATACGTCATATAAAGGAATATTACTTCCTAAAAAAGTAAATGATCTGGCGAAAGATTCAGTGAGGAGGTTTAATAGGTGAAGCACGTGGGCATTATTTGGACCAGTCAAAGTATTCTGCATGTTACCACAACTGTGGAATCATGATAGTATGCATTTGCGTTCTTTTTTTTTTTTTTTTTTTTTGAGACGGAGTCTGCTCTGTCGGCCAGGCTGGAGTGCAGTGGCACGATCTCGGCTCACTGCAAGCTCTGCAACCCGGATTCACGCCATTCTCACGCCTCAGCCTCCCGAGTAGCTGGGACTACAGGTGCCTGCCACCACGCCCGGCTAATTTTGTTTTTGTATTTTTAGTAGAGACGGGGTTTCACCGTGTAGCCAGGATGGTCTCCATGTCCTGCCCTTGTGATCTGCCCACCTCGGCCTCCCAAAGTGCTGGGATTACAGGCGTGAGCCACTGCACCCGGCCTGCATTTGTTAAGAAACAAAGAATCTCACAGCACAAAGAGTGTCACTTAATATATGTAAATTTTAAAAAAACAACAACAACAAAGTAGGTGTTCTGGGGATCCTGGGATGGAATGCAGAATGTGATAGAAAATCTAAAGTACTACAAATGTATAAAGCCACTTCACTCTAGGGAGTGGGAAAAACGTGCTGACATAAGCATCTTAGAAAATGGATGGGCCTTCTGTGGTGGCTCACACCTGTAATCCCAGCACTTTGGGAGGCCAAGGTGGGCAGATCACCTGAGGCTGGGAGTTTGAGACCAGCCTGGCCAAAATGGTGAAACCCCATCTCTACTAAAAAGACAAAAATTAGCTGGGCATGATGGCGGGTGCCTGTAATCCCAGCTACTCAGGAGGCTGAGGCAGGAAAATCACTTGAACCTGGGAAGTAGAGGTTGCAGTGAGCCGAGATCACGCCACTGCACTCCAGCCTCAGCCTGGGCAAGAAGAGCAAAACTCCATCTTAAAAAAGAAAAAGAAAAAGAAAAAGAAACAAAGAAAATGCATGAAGACTGAAAGGAAGAGAAACTGCAAACAACTCATGTGATCTGGTTGGTATAGCTGTGTCCTACAGGAAATGGGATAGCGATTCTGATATTGATAGAGAATAAATGTATATTGGAACTAGACAGTTAAGCAAATGGATGACAAATGACAGGAGCCTGGTTTCTCACTATGAAAGTGGGAGGTTACATGTAAGCAAGGGGAGAAGGCCAGAATGATCATGTGATAAAAGAATTGAGTCGTAGACATCAGTATGAACTAACACTTATACATATTACATTTAGAAATATTTATAGTTATGTGTATACACAGCTTTGTATACACACATTTATTTCTTTGCTCTGTAAACTAAGACGGTCTAGAACGAATGATATCCCAGCAGAAATGAGCATATCTAACACTCAAGTCTTCAATTCTTGGGTTTTTGTTCATGATCCGGGATCCAGGAGTTGGGCCCTGGGGCTGGGCATTGTGTAGCCTCCGGGATGGTGCTGAGCATCCATTCCCACCCTCCTGCAGCTGGGGAACCATCCCTTGACTTGGGCCCCCTGGAGGCAAGAACATGGTCACCCACTTTAATCACATGGTCCCTATCACATAATCAGAGGGTGCTGTGAGTTTTAACTCTTCAAGCCAGATGTGTAAACAATTCGACATAGATAAGATATAGTGACTAGAAGTCTTTTATTTATTTATTTTGAGAGAGAGTCTCTGTTGCCCAGGCTTGGAGTGCAGCGGCACAAACAATCAAACAATAACCAAAATCCAGAAGACTGAAAAGGTCAAATGCTGTCAAGGATGGGGAGCAACAGGACCTCTCATTCCTTGTTTGTGGCACAATCAGTTTACTGTACCCACGAACTCCCAGGCCCAAGTGATCCTGCCACAATCAATCTCCCAAGTAGCTGGGGCCACAGGCATGCACCACCATGCCTGGCTGATTGGTTTTATTTTTATAGAGATAAAGTTTCCCTGTGTTGTCTAAGGTGGTCTCAAACTCCTGGGATCAAGTGATCCTCCTATCTCGGTCTCCCAAAGTGCTGTAAGTACAGACATGAGGTCCTGCACCCAGCCTGGAAGTCTTTATAGATAAGTTCAATTTAACTGTTTCTCCATCTGCTCCACTCAGCCGAGTTTCCCTCTCAGTCCAAGGGTGAGAACTGCAGCTCAGCCCCATCCAGGATGGCTGCAGATGACCCAGCGCCACTGCCATACTCCAGACGCTGGTCAACGAGGAAGGGATCCTGAGGCCTGGCAGCGGGCGCTCTCAGGAACCTTGAAGCCCTCTAAACGGGACCCGCCATCCGTGCCTGTCAGAACTGTTGCCGCTACCTGCACTTGGCACACAGGCAAATATGGCCAAGCAACCCCAAACTCCCCTCTTCCCCTCTGGGCCCAGGCGGCGCTGAACCTGCTGCTCAGCCGTATCCTGGTGACTGCACAGTGCCCAGAGCCTGCAAACCAGCGCTCAGGGCGCGAGCCAAGGAAGAGCAGGGCCTAGAGTGGGAGGGCGTGTGCCACACGGCTACCCTTAGGCCGTTGGGCCCAGCCCTGCAGCCTCTACCATGGGCTCAGCTGCAGCTGGCATTTGAAGGTGGCAGCAGCGGTGGCAACCCCAGAACCTGTCCGCGCCACCAGCAGGCGAACCCCAGGGTCGGACACCGCCACTGCGCCTAAGTCAGGCAGTGGGACCTCAGTTGCCGGATCGTGGGAACCTGCCGCAAAGCCTCGTCGCCGCAGCTGTACAGGGCCCAGTGGTCGCAAGCCTGCGCTGCCAGCGCGAGCCGAGGAAGAGCAGAGCCCCGGGTGGAAGGGCGATGTACTCGGCGATGCTCAGCGGTCTGGGCCCAGCCCTATAGCCTCTACCATGGGCTCAGCTGCAGCTGCCACCTGAACACGGCACGCGGCAGGAGAGGCTGCAACCCTGACCCTGCCAGCGCCACCAGCCACGCGGATACTTGGGCCAGAAGCCTCCAGGGCGCCTCAGTCAGGGGTTGGGTCCCTGGCTGCAGGAGGCCGGGAACCGACACTCAGCGCCACCCTGGAGGCTGCACGATGCCCAGCGCCAGGGCCCAGCTCCTGGATCTCAGGTTGAGGAGGGGCCAGGGGCGGCTCTGTCAAGCAGGCTATGTGGCAGGGAGCCCCCCACGTTCCGCTGCAAGGAGCCCCGCCAGCCCGATAGCGCCTCAGTGGCAGGTGCCACCTGCACGCCGTGCTGGGCGAAGCGCAGCCAGGGCGGTTTCCTGCCTCGCGTGTCTCCCAGGTCTGCTGAGTTGCGCATGTGCTGTTGCCTAACGGTTCTGCTCAGCTGCCTAACGGTTTTGGGCAGCCATTTTCTCCCGGGAGAGGCTGGAGTGTCCAAAAGCTTGGCCGACTGAGATTTCTAGTCGTGTCAGGGCGGGTGCAGGGACTGAAGAAGGGCAAGGGCGAGCGGCGGGGACTGGGGAAGGGCGAGTGGCGGGGACTGGGGAAGGGCGAGCAGCGGGAGGCACGGGCTCTCTCTAGCAGGTGGCTGCAGCCATGGAGAGGCTCTGTGCCACCGCTGTCAAGGGCCAGACGGGCCCAGAGCGCCCAAGCCCCTTCAGTCAGCTGTTCTACACCAACAACGACTCTTACGTGATTCACCATGGGGATCTCAGGAAGATCCACAAAGCTGCCTCCCGGGCCAAGCCTGGAAGCTGGAGAGGATGATGAAGAAGACGACAATGGACCTGAACATAAGAGATGCGAAGAAGAGGTACCAGGCCCTGCCTGAGCCGGGGCTGCAGGAGGAGGAGGAGGCTGTGGGAGGATCGCCCCTTCAGAGTGGGGGCTGGGGGTCCTGGGGACGAGGGGAGCAGGTGGAGGAGTGGCGGGCAGCGGGGCGGCCGTCCTGGCCCCCGAGGTCTTGATCTTCTTCCCGGGAAGGCCCCCAGGCCTTGGATGGGGCGCCCTGCAGGGCGGAGGGCACAGGCCACCTTAAAATCAACCCCAAACTTTAGTTAGCTGCTTTCTCCTTCACTCCCACTTCCTCTCATAGAGCACTGTGTAGAGACTTTTAAAGTGATTTAACTTACAAAATTAAGTACATACAGGGTTTTACTTTTAATGTACAGGTTTTAAAAGATAATGTTAGATACATTATGAAATGGTGCATAATGAAATAATTCCATAATATATTAACTTCTTGGCTAAAAATTTTTTGGATAAAGTCCAGTATCCATTTCAATATCAATGAATGTCTATGTAAATATATTCTTTGCTGAGGGACCTTAGAAGGTAACTTTGAGGTGGGAAGATGGTTTATGTTTTCGAATTTAAGAAGACTCATTTTTCTGAAGATGCAAGTTCTTTATCAGTTTTACATAAACCAAATAAAGTTATCAACGTTTTAACATTTTTAAAATTACACACGCTGTCTTTTACTATTGTGATGACATTTAACAAATTTTGTAACGGAGTAGAAAAGTCTTGCCCTTCTAGATTTCAAAATGTGCTATTAATTTGCACAAAATGGGCCATGGCCAGGCGCGGTGGATCATGCCTGTAATCCCAGCACTTTGGGAGGCCGAGGTGGGTGGATCACGAGGTCAGGAGATCAAGACCATCCTGGCTAACACGGTCTCTACTAAAAATACAAAAAATTAGCCGGGCGTGGTGGGGGGCGCCTGTAGTCCCAGCTACTTGGGAGGCTGTCAGTAGAAATGGTGTGAACCTGGAAGGCAGAGCTTGGAGTGAGCCGAGATCGCACCACTGCACTCCAGCCTGGGTGACAGAGTGAGACTCCGTCTCAAAATAATAATAAATAAATAAATAAATAAAATTTGAAAAAAAAAAAAAAAAAAAAAGGGCCAGACGTGGTGGCTCATGCCTGTAGTCCCAGCACTTCGGGTGGCCGAGGCGGGTGGATCACCTGAGGTCAGGAGTTCAAGACTAGCCTGGCCAATATAGTGAAACCCCAACTCTACAAAAATACAAAAATTAGCCAGGCATGATGTCCGGAGCCTGTAAGCCCATCTACTCGGGAGGCTGAGGAGGGAGAATCGCTTGAAACTGGGAGGCAGAGGTTGCAGTGAGCTGAGATCCCATCACTGCACTCCAGCCTGGGCGACAGTGAGACTCTGTCTCAAAAATAAATAAATGAATCACAAATTATTTGATAACAGCTGAAAAGACAGGTAAATGAATACAACACAGTAGAAAATCCAGAAACACCCAAATATCTAAGAATTCAGAATTTGATAATGCTCACACTTTATACTAGTAGGGAAAGAATTAGTTTCATAAGTGAAATGCCTGCTTTTTGGAGAAAACTAGATTTTTATGCCACAAAGTAAATTTCTGACGGAATATACAAAATGATAAAAGCACCAGAAGAAAACATAAATGCCTATTTACACAGGTACATTTTTATGTTGACAACACCTTTCTAAGAAGCTCAGAAGCAAGCAGTCTGAAGGATAATTAAGCAAAACAAAATTAAATTAAACTGTAATGAGAAAAAATAAAAGGCAGCATACTTGTAAAATATTTACTACACATGTATGTGGGTGTGTGTATACATATTAGATTTTTAAATCATCATTTTATAGATAATTCACTTAAATCAACAAAAAAACCCTCTAATTTAAAATTGAGCAATTTAAATTAGAGATCTAAATTGCAGATCTAAAAATAGTACTTTGCTTCTAATTTAAAATTTGGAAAGTATTTTCTTAAGATCTGTAAGTGACCTATGCACGCAGAAAACAATATTTAGTGTTCCTGGTTACAGAAGGCATTTAAGTTAAAAGAGGAATCAAATACTGCTTTCTATCTACAAAGTTTGTGAGGATAAAGAGCAGTGATATTTATACTGCTGTTTAAAGTTTAAGTTGCAGATACCTTTTCAAATAGACAATTTGGTGGTAAGTACCATATTATTAAGAAGAATCCATATAATGACTTTTATAAATACATTTCAGTGAATTTACAGCATGGGATAATATGTGACCACTAAAGGTAGAAATATGTAGAGAAGTAGGTGACATTTGAAAATGTATTTTGGTGTATCAAGTGAGGGTAAAGTTCACTTTGATTATACATACACACAGACTACAGTCTTGCGTTATCTGAAGTTGTGTATGAAATATGATAACATTTGTTATTTGAGGGCATTTGTTTTAATATAAAATGTTTTTCCTTTTTATTATCTTTGATTTCCACATTGAGCATGTACAATGCTATTAGAAAAAGTTTATTATTAATGAAATAATTTTTGGGAAGAGCAGGGATATAATTTTGCACCAATAAAAATAATTTCTCACTTTCCATATTTTAATTATTATTTTTTGTGGATTAGTATATTCTGTGAACTTTTAACATCTTCAAAAGACAGTCTTTTTACCTGTGCTTGTTGATTTACATATACATCTTATTAGGCACATATTTTTATTATATATAGATTTCTTACATATATGTCAATAATTATAGATTAATTAGTGTAGTTTTATTATTAAGAAAATAAAATAGAAAATATAAGTGCTTTATTTATAGCAGTTTTTTTAAGGTATTGAACTTTTCAACTGTATTTATCCTTTTAATCAATTTATCACATGTAAGCTGAATGCCTATTATGTAGAAGATACATTAACTCTCAAGATCCTTTCATCCTTAAAAATTTCGCATTTACCTGCTCAGCCTTAGCAAAGTGAGAGATTTAAAGTTGGAGTACTAGGAATGAATCTCAATTGAAGCTTTTCCTCTCATCTTTAAAACAAAAACACTTCTGAAGTAAGAAACTAGTAAAAGATAACTACCAACCACGATTTTGGAAATTTATAACAGCTTTAAATAGTAATATTAATCATTGGAAATACCTAATTTACATGCATTCTATAAATTTAAATATGAATTTACATACATTCTGTAAATCTAAACATGGAATAAAATGAGCCATACCTACTTGAATCCCAAGTTTTCTTTGGCTTGAAGTTTTAAAAATATTAAAGAAGTACTTTGTTTTAACAGTTTGTTTTTATTTCAACTCTCCTTTTGTATAGCACTCTTAAAAGCTAAAATTTCTTTAAGTGTTAATCCTATGACTACAACTGCCATCATCCTGTTGTATATACCATATTCCACTTCATGGAAGGCACGGTGAATGGTGTGATGCCTCCTTATTTATGTACCAATAAAAGATCGTTTAAATTTCTGCAAAATATACTTGTAACAAAGAATGACTTATAAGTGGCATTTCAATGTCAGAGATGTTAAAATATGAGAAATAGAGTATCTTAGAATTATTAAAATAGTTTTATCTCTAACCTTTAAAACATACCACAAAGTAGGCATAATTGTACCATTTAACTTAAAATGTTTTCTTTGTTAAGTAGTAGAAATAATTACAATATCTATCAATTACTGAGCTGTTACATGTGCTAGGAATTCTTCGAAATACATTGCACAGATTCTCATGAGGCATCACAGTGATGTCCTGTGAGATAACTGCTGTATTCATCTTCACTTTATTGATGAGAAAATTGAGGCACAGAAAGGTTAAGTGATAGCTAGAAGGTGAAAGACTTTAAAGTAATATTCAAGCCCAAGTTGAACTGAATCCAAAGGCCAAGCTCTTTCTATTCAAATAGGCCACTCTTTCATTAATGTAGTGAGTAATAACAGTGAATGAATGTTGTAGTTTCTTCAGGAGAATATTAAATATTTGTTTTGAAGGCAGAGAAAGAGCATGGTATTTAATGTTGACAATTACATAAATCATTCTATGTTTTGAGACAGTGGACTAAACTTTCCTTAAAAGGCTTCTCACTCTCGTAGGACTGCTCTACACTGGGCCTGTGCCAATGGCCATGCAGAAGTAGTAACACTTCTGGCAGATAGAAAGTACCAGCTTGACGTCCTTGATGGTGAAAACAGGACAACTCTGATGAAGGTAAATGGTAGCCAGTTCTTTCAGCAGGAGATGGATGTGGTTTAAATACGTAGAATAAAAATGAATTTATCTCATTGAAATATAACTAGTTTGTGAAACCTGTGGAATATTTATTTATATTTCCTATAATTTATAATTTACTTCTTGCTTTAATACTGACAGGCTCTGCAATGCCAGAGGGAGGCTTGTGCAAATATTCTCATAGATTCTGGTGCTGATCCAAATATTGTAGGTGTGTATGGCAACACAGCTGTCCATTATGCTGTTAACAGTGAGAATTTGTCAGTGGTGGCAAAATTGCTGTCCTGTGGTGCAGACATTGAATTGAAGAACAAGGTAGACATTAACCAATGTTATTTTCAAAATATTTGAAATCCGTTTGTTTTAACATTAACATATGTAAATTGTTTTATATTTGGAAGCTCAAACATTCCTATTTTTCTATGAAAATAGTTTGACAAAACTTAATTGTCTAGGATTTTGCTTTAAATATTAATATTTTTACAAGAACTATTAGTATGGCTTTTCTGTGCATTATGATAAATATTTAAATTTGTTAAAGGTAAAACATTTTCAAATATTCTTTCCCACCCAAGTTTTTTTTTTCTTTCCAGTTAGTGTAAAACTACAAGAAAGTAAAATTTGCCTGCATAAATTGAGTCAACATGTAAAATTTAGGAGACATGCAGAAATCTGGATTTCCTCTTAAAGGATTGAATCTTGAGCCCGTATAACTGTTTGGTATACTATGAAGACATTCTAGTTTTACATAAAGCATATGTTTCCAGTTTGCTACTGTGCCCACCTAGTTACATCACTTATTCAACTTACCTATTTTGCCTCTGTAAATATTTCAGTTATCAATTCCTCTCTCATAGTACATTTTGGTAAAGATTTCAAGTTATTGAAGACAGTTTATAGGTGTTTATAATATGTAGTTTATATTTTACATTAATTCATTAATAATGGGGTTGTCTTCTAGAATTTAGAATATTTTTTAAATGATGATTTTTCTTCATATAAACCATAAATAATCATCTTCTATTAGAAGGCCTTTAAGCCTTTTTAGATTAATCATGGTTATATTTGAATAGGTTATGCATATTGCAGAAAAAATATTATATCTTTCTCCACAGAATTGTCCCTTAAAAGTCAAGTGATTTAGTGGCTTCTATTTTGCTAAGCCACATACATGAGTTAGAACTTTCATTAATAAGCCATTTTATTCATACTTCTGATATTTTGCCAAAAAATAGTATCAATTACAATAGAAACCAGAATAAAAATGGATTATTGAATTTTAAGAAGTAGATATGCATTAGGATCCTAGGAGTATCATTATAATAGAGAATAAACTTTTATACTGAATTTCTTTTCTTTTTTTCTTTTTCTTTTTTTTTTGAGACAGAGCCTTGCTCTGTCACCAGGCTGGAGTGCAGTGGTGTGATCTCGGCTCACTGCAATCTTTACCTCCCTGGTTCAAGCGATTCTCCTGCCTCAGCCTCCTGAGTAGCTGGGACACAGGCATGTGCCACCACGCCCAGCTAAATTTTTTGTATTTTTAGCAGAGATGGGCTTTCACCATGTTGACCACGATGGTCTCGATCTCCTGACCTTGTGATCTGCCCGCCTTGGCCTCTCAAAGTGCTGGGATTACAGGCATGAACCACTTTGCCTGGCCTTTTATACTGAATTTCTAATAGCTGAGATAAAATCCTATTGTCTGGTAATAGGATAAACCCCATGGACCATTTAAGAATAAGCAATCAAAGTTCATTTGAAGCCAATCTCTTTTAATTTAGAGCCACTTCCTTAGTGACTCATTTAGAGCAGGAGTGCCTGACATTGGCATTTGGAATCTTGGGATCATTGATAGAAGAGAATCAAGTGAGTCTGTATCACCCAGAGGAAACCTCCATTTTTGGGGGGAAGCTTTCAAAACTGCATCCCTGAAATTCTAATTTGTCAAATGTTAATGTTTGCCACAAAAATATACTGTCAAATAAGAATTAGGTAAAGTTCAATTCATTTCTTGAATAATGAACATTTAATTCACAGTTTTATAACATTTCTTGAACATAGATAATGGTGGAATCTATTGGGGTACAGTGCTTCTGGTAAGGTAATTATTCTTTGGAATAAAGTTGAAGAAACACTGTTCTAGAGGTAATAATTTAGATTACTAATTTAGTAAAAAATAAAGTATTTACTACTATGTCTTAGGGTTTAAGGATAGAGAGGTAAAAGATACAGCCCCTGCCCTCAAGAAGCTCTTGGTTTACATGGGAAACAATAAAATCATTACAATGTAATGATTTTTGGAGATAACCAGAGTTAATGTGGTGATGCAGAGGCTGAATGTTTACAAGAGAAGGTGCAGTGCATGGGAAAGCACAGAAAAGTGAGAAAGAAGGGATTGCTATTGATTTACTTTCCATTGTTTAAGTTCATAGGATATTATATAAGGTATTCAATTGAGCTGAGAAATATGTAATTTCATGAATTATAAATTGTTTTTGCTGTTTTACAGGCTGGCCACACACCACTTTTATTGGCCATAAGGAAAAGAAGTGAGCAAATTGTGGAATTTTTACTGACAAAAAATGCAAATGCAATTGCAGTTGATAAGTTTAAATGGTATAGTAGTTTTTTTATTAAAAAACACTTGAGTAGTGTGCTAGAGTAATAACACTCAAGTCAGAAATATTAAATTAATAACATTTACTTAAAATTATTAGATTATACAGAAAAATACCAACACAAATTATCAGTTAGGAAGAAAAGCAATTATTTGGACTGGTCAACACAAAGAACAGTATACAGTAGGATTTTCTTCTTTTATTATATTGACTGATTCTTATTTGTAATCTGATGTTTTTGGTTGAATTATCTTCTATTAGCTAAAGTGGTTCTGTATTAGTTTTAAGAAGTATAAATTTTTAGTTTACTTTATAATTCAATATTGAATTATTAACACCTTTATAGTATTTTACTAACTTCTGTTTTTCATACACTTTTTAAAAATGCAATATTTTCTGGGTATGGTAGCTGTTGTCTGTTATCCCAGCACTTTGGGAGGCCAAGTGGGTAGATCACCTGAGGCCAGGAGTTCAAGACCAGCCTAGCCAACATGGTAAAACCCCATCTCAATGAAAAATATAAAAATTAGCCAACCATTGTGGCACAAGCCTGTAGTCCCAGGTACTCAGGACAATATTATTCCTAATATTGTTTTAAGTCTTCAGATTGCTCTCACTTGTCCAACTTCTAGCTAATTTTGAAGTACAAAATATTATATCAGACTAAGGAGGAAATAGATAATTCTTCACTTAAAACTTTGCCTCTTTTAGATTAGTGAACAGAACATATTTTCTTGCCCCTCAGTGGACTTTATGTTAGCCAATTCTACTATGCCATATCCCAGTGAGACATGAGTCTTTTCACCCCTTCCTTTTAGCCTTGGTCATGATTTACAAGGATAAACACTTGAGCACTCAAGATACTTAACATTTGTTAATACATGTAAATGGTTAATTCTATACTGACAGGCACATATTAAATTGGTTCCTTCCTAATAATGAAGTTATCTCTGTTATTTTAGCACAGCCCTCATGCTTGCCATATGTCATGGATCATCAGAGATAGTTGGCATGGTTCTTCAGCAAAATGTTGACATCTGTGCTGAAGCTACATGTGGAATGATTGCAGAACGTTATGCTGTTGCTTGTGGATTTAATCTCTAAGTGTTTACATTTAAAGGCTAGGTGAGATTTTATAGTTTGTTTCAGGTAGTTTTTGAATGACAGTGAGTTAGTTCACTTCATCAGCCAGAAACTAGGCAAAAAGCTAGACTAGTTAGAAAGATTAATGGCTCCAGGATTCTTTATTTTAGGGCTTTAGGGACGCTAATGTTGTCTACTTGATTTGAAGTATAACCCCTATGCATGGGATAAATATAATGTCAAAATTTTGGTTTTTCTAATTAGTTATTTGGGTCTCAAAATGTCCACTTTAGGCAGAAAACCTGATAGTGTCCCCAGGGGGTTGTCTTCCATACCTTCATTCTTGAATTTTTAAAAAGAATCTGAACCTAAGTCCAAGGAAGACATTCCTTTTGTACAAGTCAGAAGGATTGGGGGGTGGGAAATGGCCATTCTCTTCATTTTGCTGTTTCCATTGATTCTGTTGCTGCATCGTTGCCATTGAAACTGCTCCTGCAGTCTGGTAATGATTGACCTTTGTGACCAGGATGCCCTTACTAACACAGATTCCTCAGTCTTCATGGTATAGACTTCCAAGTTATGACATGTTTTTAAAGTTCACGTACATATTCTCAGCCATTGTTTCCAAAGTACCAGCACCCCACTCTGGCAGCTAGAACTTTTAGCTTTAGCCACACACATAGTGAGCAAATGGACCCTTCTCCTCACACTCAAAACCTGATGTGAAACCCACATCTTAGCCTGGACATGGCCTAGACCTTCATGGTAAGTTATCCTTTGAGTGGCTTTTTTCTATTTTCTCTAGCCAATATTAGTTGTGGTAGTTTGAAACTGTAAGTCAGGTTGAAATAATGTTACAGGAAGAAATTAGAGATCCATTTTGTCTTTGTTACCAGATCTATATCCCTGGCCCTTTATATCCTGTGTAGCACCATTTTGTAGGTAGTGGAAGGTCTCATCTTATTCTATAAAATCCCATGTCATCTTTCCCAAGTTGTAGTGGGTTCCAACTTGTGGTTGTCCCCTCACGTGATTCTTTTTTCCTAAAAGTAAAAATCTCCCATGCTACTTACATCTCCACCTCGAGTTTCTAAAATATTTTCAAATGCTGCATCACCATGAAGCCATTCAATAGACTTCACTAAATCTCAAGTAAGTTGGTTAGATTTAACAGAGCTAAGCCTCATCCATCACTGATCAGTCTTCACATATAAAAGTAAGGATTTGTGCTGGCTTCAGTGGTACATATAGTAAAATTAAGAACGTTGAGAAGATCAGCATGGTCCCCGCACAAGGATGACATAGAAATCTGTAAGGTGTTGCATATTTCTTGCAGTCCCCAAAAGGACATTTTACTACTTTCTAACTAGCTCCAAGGAAATGGTGTGAGTCAAAGCAAAATGGGTGACACCCAGTATTGCAATTGTGATTTTCATACAAGAAATTATTTACGTAAGGTGATCTATGAAATGAGTTGTGGTAACACATAGGATCTTGTGTGCAATATTTTGTTAGTAGGGATCTCAGAAATGAGAAAATACCAACTTGCATCTTCTTTGTGGAACTTACAAAAAATAAAGGTAGGGTTTTGTCTTCCACAGCAGCTGGAAATGAACATAGTGACTAAGCATCATTCTAACAAAGATTTGTTGGTTCAGAGTTTAAGGAGGTAGATGAAGAGTAGTAGTAGTCCAAGCCAGATGCTGACATCTATTAGTTTTCTGCCCTTGGTGTGACTGATGAGCTCAGTAATAGAGTATAATTAGGTTATCTGATTTAATGATTTAATATATTTATAAATAAATTTCATTACAAAATATAAAATAGCTTAGATGCTCTGAATTACAAGCCACAAAGAATAGAACATCTAATATCCAAAAGTAGGAATTAATAACAGAAAATTGCAATATTTGAATATTATAACCTATGAAGAAAAACATTTTTTTGTTTTTGTTTTTTTTTGTAATTTAATTTTTGTTGACACATGGTCTCCCTATGTTGCCCAGGCTGGTCTTGAACTTCTGGATTCAAGCAATCCTCCTGTCTCAGCATCCAAAAGTGCTTGCCTCACAAGCACGAGCCACTGCACCAGGCCAATATATTGGGTTTTATTGGGAATTTTAAATTGTTTCAGCAATAAGTTTCAAGAACAAATAATTTTTTTGCTTCATTTTTTATTTTAAGCATTTTTAAAATGTTATCTTGTTAAATCTTTATAATAACCTAGTGAAATAAGGCCCTAAAATCCTCATTTTTAGAAGACATTGAGTCTAAGAGAAGCAACTTGTTCAAGAAAAAATACCTGTTGGTAGCCATGCTAGGACTTATTCCGAGTTAAGGACATTTTCCATATGTCAAGCTAACTTTAGTTAATTTACTGAGTTATACTGCCCTCACTTCATGAGTGTTTTATCTTTCTTTCTTCTTTAATTAGAAGCTTAATAAGTTCATAGAGCTTACAAACTTAAAGTCTATGGAAAAAGTAATGTTCTGATGTTAGTTCTAATATTGTCTGAAATACTCTAAGAATGTAATAAATTTGGTAAATTTTTTTATATCAATGTTAAAATAGTGATTTTATTTATTTCATTTTTATACATAGCATTCATCAACAACTTTTGGAATATAAACAAAAGATATCTAAAAATTCTCAAAATAGTAATCCAGGTAAGACCTCTGATAGTAAACTACTCTTGGTGGTGCTACCATAAGATTATAGGAGTGTTAATCACAAAAGAGCTATTAGAAAAGCAATGTGTAAGTAGCATGTGTTTACATATAGACCTATATGTGTTATTTTATATACAAAGCTTTGATTTAATTTTTTAGTTTATAATTCAGAATTCATTAAGAATTTAGTTATAGGTAGTTTATAATCTCAAAAATATTATCTGAAAAAATATTTGTTTAATAGTGGTCCCTAATATCCTATATAATACTTTTGTATAAATAAGTAAAACAATTTTTAAGTTTATCTGTTGTATGTTTCCTCAACTGTCATAAAAATTTATGCTTGTTATAAAATGTATAATCCTTGGTGTGATTGATGAGCTCAGTAATAGGGGATTATCAGCTTATCCAATTTAATGAATTATTATATTTATAAATAAATTTTATTACAAATTATAAAATAGCTTAGGTGCCTTGAATTACAAGCCACAAATAATAGAACTTCTAATAATGAAAAGTAGGAATTAATAACAGAAAACTGCAACATTTGAATATTATAACCTATAAAGGAACACAGTTAAACTGTTAAATAAACAAATATTTGTTTATTAAACATAAACAAACATATAAAATGTTTATTTGTTAAATAAACAAATACATAATTATTTGTTTGTTTATTAAACATAAACATATAAAATGTTTATTTGTTAAATAAACAAATAAATAATTTATTTGTTTGTTTCTTTATTGTAGAGACATGGTCTCCTTATGTTGCCCAGGCTGGTCTTGAATTTCTGGGCTTTATTTAATTTTTACAATAAATGATTTGCATTTAGAAAATTAGAATTAATTACAGTTGAGTATTGAGCAACATGAGAGTTAGGGTGCTGATCCCCCCATGCAGCTGAAAATCTGCTTTATAGGAAAATCTGTTTCTTTTGACTCTTCCAAAACTCTACAACATTCTACTGTTGACCTGGAGCCTGAAAAAAGGTGAAAGCATAAGCAGTCAATTAACCCATAGTTTCTATTTTATATGTACTATATACTGTATTCTTAGAATAAAGTGAGCTGGAGAAAAGAAACTGTTATAAAGAGGAAGAAATATATTCGCTATTTATTAGATGGAAGTGAATTATTATACATAAAGGACTTCATTCTCATTGCCTTTATGTTGAGTAGGCTGATAAGGAGGAGGCAGAGGCGAGATTTGTCTTAGTATCTTGCAGTGACAAAGGAAAAGAAAAAATCTGTCTATTAGTGGGCTCCTAGAGTGAGAACCCTTATTCAAAGATCAACTGTGTGGCATAGTGACTTTCGTCACTAAAAAAGTAACTATCTTTAGAATTTGGAACTCAATAATACTTTTCTTGCACCATAAATGAATGTCAATAAGAATTAACATAACTTAGCAAGGGTGCATCAGTACCAATAGGAGATTATTTTTCAAAGATACCTACTGAGTGCAGAAGTCAGAAAAGCAATTCTTTGTTGAGAAGCACAGGTTATGTTACAAAGTCTTGTACCAACAAGGTCTCACTATTATCAACTTCATTCCCTCTAAGTTGAAACCAAATAAGATATATTTACTTCATTAGAACAAGATGTGTTGTTCTATCTGCTGGATAATTAGTGTGTTAATAGTAATTTTGTTACAACAAGTTACTCTGTTCCTACTAGCCAAAATATTATCATTATAAATATACAACTAGCTCAACTCTAGGCTCAACGAATTATAATAAAAGTGGAAAAAATTTTCACAATAGCAAAAGTGCTACTGTGATACCTAAATGTGACACAATACATTGTACAATATGAACTGTATGAACACATCTTTAATTTATTACATATTTATCAAAGGACTTCTGTAAGTTAGATTTTGCAAGTTGCAGGAGACCAACATGGAATACACATAGTCTGGGTCTTTAAGGTGCTCATAATACAATAGAGCTGTCGCTATTGAATTTCTTCATTTTTCCAACAGAATTTCCTAACTATGTTTTCTATTTGTTTATCCACTTGTCCACTTAACAAATAACTGTCAGGTATCTTTAAGGTACTAAGCATCTTTCTTGTTATTATCATTGTCATTTTTTATTATTTACTACTTTATTAAGGTACTAAGCATTTTTCTTGTTATTATCATCTTTTTTATTATTTACTACTTTATTTAGTGCTTCCTCTGTGCCAGAACCCCTTTGGGAGCTTATAATTATCACTTATTATGTCATTACCATATTCAGTATGTGTCAGACATTTTATATCCAACGTGAAGAATTAAAGCTTTAAAAAGTTTGGTAGTGTCCAGGAGCGGTGACTCACTCCTGTAATCCTAGCACTTTGGAAGGCCAAAGCGGGCGGATTGCTTGAGCACAGGAGTTTGGGACCACCCTGACTAACATGGTGAAATCCCATCTCTACTAAATACAAAAAATTAGCTGGGCCTGGGTGGCATGCATATGTAATACCAGCTACATGGGAGGCTGAGGTAGGAGAATTTCATGAACCCAGGAGGCGGAGGTTGCAGTGATCTGCTGAGATCGTGCCACTGCACTCCAGCCTGGGCAACAGAGCGAGGCTCTTGTCTCAAAAAAAAAAAACAAAAAAAAAGGAGAAAACAAAAGTTTGGTAGTATTTAAGGAAAGCAAGCTGAATGAGTAGAAGTTTTCCAGGTAAAGAGTCAGAAGGATGATATTTAGCAGAAGGAAAATTTAACCAGACTGTGTGTTTGGCAGAAGGAACATCTGAAGGAACACTTGATGAGGCTGCACCCTTGGCAGAAAGAACACCTGACACGGCTGAAAGCTTGGTGGAAAGAACACCTGATGAATAGGATACAGTGAATTCCTCTTCAAAGATTTTAGCCTGTAAATATCCTTTAAAATTCAAGAGGGGGAAGATTAAGTACAATGAGTTCTGAGTTCCTCATCAAAGAACAAATATGTCAGTATGTTCAGCTTCTCTGTTCTTTGTTCTCCGTTTTAAAGTTTAACTTCCTCGTTCGTTATGCCTCCTTGCCCCTAGTTTCATTAAACAACCCCCTTCTAGCCTCTAACACCTGCTTTGTCTTTAGTCATTCTTAGTAACCTGCTCTGTCCTTAGTCATCCTTAGACACCTGCTCTGTAACTGTCTTTCCCACTGAAACTACTCACCCTGCCACTCCAGCTCATACCCCTGCCCTCTTTGAAATAGCCAATCTGAATTGGCTTAGAGTGTGCAGTCCAACCCTATCCAATAGGGAAAAGACACAACAGTAGGGACTAGCTGAGTTAGAAATAAGAACACTTTCCCCTCCCTTGTCTGGTGTGATCTTGCCTTTGCTCCATCTGCAAGACCACTCTTCCATAGAAGTAAATTTGCCTTGCTGTAAAAACTTGTTGCTGGAGTGCTGACGGTTCTTTGCGGCAACGAAAATTATTTTCCACAAATTTGAGGGCCCACCCAGCATTCCCATTCTCCTCTGGGGGAGGGTCCAGTCCTCTCCCTTGAGGAGGCGCACCCCGCTGCCTCGTTGCAGTGGCCATAAAGGTAAGGAATCAAGACTCAACTGGTGCGATTAATAAATCCGGGCTCTCAGCAACGTGGAAAGAAACAGACCAGCAACTTTGGGGAAAGGATCTTCACATACCGTGGCGACCAGGTAACTGTGCACAGACCGAGGTAAGAAATGTCGCAGGGGTGACAAAGTATTTCCTTGGTGGTTGGGATATTCTGGAGGTTGAAAGTGTGTGTGAATGATCACAAGCACTACTGCTTGTGGTGCTCTTTGTGTGGATGATACTAAGCATTATTGCTGTGAGGAGTGAGTGGGTCCTAACTGCGGTTTTTTATTTGAATAAAAAACCTTTGGAGAGGAATTCACTGTATCCTCATAGGGCTCAGGGCAGATCTTGCTGTGGGGTTTATACCATGATGCCAATGCTAAGAGGGACCTAAAATTCCTGGGAGGGAAGCAGCCAGAGTGGATGAAGTGAAAGAAGGGTGCGAGGAGCCTCCAGCAGGTGGGGATAAAGGATAGGGAAGAAATCTCTAGCATGCGGGATTGAGCCTAACCAGGACCTAACATGGGAAAAGACCCAAGTAAGATAGGGAGCAAAAAAGAAGAGGATAGTAACAAAGACATGCCCCTGATAGTCCCCTGGGTCTCATGTTAAAATATTGGAAGGATAATGAGAGTACTAAACATAAGAAAAAGCATTAGAGGATAAAATATTGCTGTTTCATTTGGACCCAAGTTCCCATTTTCAAACACTCAATCTTCTGGCCAAAGTTTGGGCCGATTGAGAATGTAATATGTCAACTTCTAATTCAATATGTTAATGATAAAAATCTGGTTTCTCAAGAAGAACTAGACTATGCTCTTTGTTGGAGACAGGGACCTGTCTTTATTCCCGTAAAGACAACTAGGGAAGAACCCGATCCAGTATCTCAAATTGAAAAGTCAGACGAGCTGACTCCCACACCTAAAGCCAGCACATGGGATCCCCTATACCATTTTGCTCTGCTCAGTGCCTCTGACCCTTCCCCTCGGGCAGCTGCTGCCACCCCATCTCCCACCCCAGATCCTTCTCCTGCTCACGCTGTTACTCCTCCTTACAACTCTAATTCTTGGGAGTTATCATCCCATGAGCCTGTCCCCTGTCAGCTTAAATACCTCTCCCTAAAGGGACTCCATCATGAGGTACAGCAATGTAAAAAGGACGTTCAGAGCTTCCCTTTTCCCTCCACATCTAAAGAGTCGGCCCCAACTCTCTTCCCCTTAAAAGACATGCCACAAGGAGGAGGAGCCATTGTATTTGTGAATGCTCCCTTGACCAGTTCAGAAGTCTGAAGTTTGAAAAAGGAAATTAAGCCATTGTTAGACGACCCTTATGAGGTGGCAGATCAGGTTGATCAATTCTTGGGACCTCAGTTATACACTTTGGTCAAGTTTATGTCCATCCTAGGCATCCTCTTTTCGGAGGAGGAAGGAAGCATGATCTGATCCATAGGGCTGCTATGGCAATTTGGGAATATGAACACACTCCTTGTCAAAACGTTCCTACCACGGACCAAAAATTCCCTGCCCAAGATCCTCGGTGGGATAATAATAAAGCAGCTCACCAAGAAAACATGCAAGACATAAGGGAAATGATAATGAAAGAAACTAGGAAATCAGTACCCTAAATTCAGAATCTCTCTAAAGCATTTGATATATAACAGGAGAGAGATGAGTGGACTATGAAATTCTTAGACAGACTAAAGGAGCAAATGAGAAAATATGCAGGCCTAAATTTGGAAAATCCCCTGGGACAGGGAATGTTAAATCTCCATTTTTGTCACTAAAAGTTGTCCAGATGTCTCTTTTTATTTTTTTGAGATGGAGTCTCTCTCTGTCACACAGGCTGGAGTGCAATGGTGCGATCTTGATTCACTGCAAGCTCCGCCTCCCAGGTTCACTCCATTCTCCTGCCTCAGCCTCCCGAGTAGCTGGAACTACAGGCGCCTACCACCACGCCCAGCAAATTTTTTGTATTTTTAGTAGAGACGGGGTTTCTCCGTGTTAACCAGGATGGTCTCAATCTCCTGACCTCGTGATCCACCCACCTCAGCCTCTCAAAGTGCTGGGATTACAGGCATGAGCCACTGTACCTGGCCAACATTGTCCAGATATTTCAAAAAAGTTACAAAAATTAGAAGATTGGGAAAACTGACTTCAAGTGAACTTCAATGAGACGTGAACCTCAAGTGAAGTGACCTCAAGTGAACCTCAGAGAGACTCAAAAAGTATCTGTGAAGAGAGACGAAGAAAAGCAAAAACAAAAGACAAAACTTATGTTATTCACCTTCCAACAGATGGCTCCAAACCCATGTACCCCTAAACAGAGCTTCCAGTGGGCCAGAAACTGTAAAGGTTCCAAACCCTCCTTTAAAGGACCCAAGCCTCCACTGGGAGGATCAAGGCTCTTGTCTACCAGGCCATCTAAATAGCATGGGGGAGTAAAATCAAAGAATCCCAGAACTGAGAGTGGGGAAGGGCAAGGTAGGCACTACAAATGTGGAAGAACAGGCCACTTCAAGAGAGAATGTCCCAAATTAGAAAAGGAAAAAGAAGCCCTTCCACTCATGGCTTTTGAGGAAGAATAATGGTGTCAGGGGTTCTGTCTCTTTTATCTTGAGTCCCACCAGGAGCCCTTGATAAGTCTAGAAGTGGGACCTAAGCATGAGTTTATAACCTTTTTAGTCAATTCAGGAGTGGCTCGATCCTCTGTTTCCCCCCCCATCTAATATCGCCTGCTCTTCAGAGGAACTTTTGGTTTGTGGGGTAAAGGGAGAAGGATTTAAAGCAAAAATTTTAGAAAACACAGAAGTCAGATACCAGGCTCAATCAGCTCATATTCAGTTTTTGTTAATCCCTAAAGCAGGGACTAATTTACTAGGCAGGGATTTAATGTTGAAGTTAGGCATAGGCCTGCAACTCAGCCCAAGAAGATTCCTCACCTCATTAAAGCTACTCACCACTGCAGATGAAAAATATATTAATTCTAATGTCTGATCCAAAGAAGGAAACTGAGGGAAACTCTGAGTCCCTCCAAGCACATCAAGGTAAAAAACCCCAGGGAAGTAGTAAGGAGGAAACAATACCCCATTCCCCTAGAGGGCAGGATAAAGTTGAAACCTATAATTGAAGGTCTATTACAGATGGGCTTCTTGGGCCCTCTATGTCCCCTTATAACAGCCCAATATTGCCAGCCAAGAAATTAGATGGGTCATATCGGCTGGTACAGGACCTTAGGGCTATTAACCAAATAGTCCAAACTACCCACCCCATTGTCCTCGATCCTTACACCATTCTCAGCAAGATTCCATATAATAATCAATGGTTTACTGTAATAGATTTGAAGGATGCTTTTTGGGTATGTCTCCTGGCTGAAGATAGGCCAGATATATTTGCTTTTGAGTGGGAGGATCCCCATTCAGGTAGAAACAACAATATCGATGGATAGTCTTACCCCAAGGGTTCACAAACTCCCCTAACCTTTTCAGTCAAATTTTAGAACAAGTATTAGAAAAAGTTATCATCCCAAACAAATATGCCTGCTCCAATACGTTGATGATATTCTTATATCTGGTGAAGATATAGAGAAGGTAGCTGGCTTCTCTACACATATTCTCAACCATCTGCAGTTCGAGGGGTTATGAGTCTCAAAAGGAAAGCTTCAGTATGTAGAACCTGAAATTAAATATTTAGACCACTTGATAAGTGCAGAGAAGTGAAGAATAGGGTCTGAACGAGTTGAGGGAATCGTGTCCCTACCCTTGCCTCAAACTTAAACAAGAACTCAGGACATTTTTAGGGTTATTTGGATACTGCTGCTTATGGATTAACTCACATGCACTAAACAGTAAAATTCTATATCCAAAACTTGCCCAGGGGAAGACTGACCATTTCCTGTGGACTTCTGAGGAAGTCGATTAGGTTGAAGAGCTGAAAAAAAGGCTTATAACAGCCCCTCTCTTAGCCTTACCTTCCCTAGAAAAGCCATTCCACCTTTTTGTCAACCTGCATAATGGGGTAGCTTTAGGAGTGCTCACTTAAGAACACGGAGGCCATCGGCAGCCCATGTGGCCTTCCTGTCAAAAGTCTTAGATCCAGTTACTTGTGAGTGGCCTCAATACATCCAATCCATTGTGGCTACAGCACTAATGGTCAAAGAAAGCAGGAAGTTAACCTTTGGAGGAAAATTGACAGTAATAACGCCCCATCAAGTTAGAACTATCTTAAACCAGAAAGCAGGGAGGTGGCTTACTGACTCAAGAATCTTAAAGTGTGAGACTATTCTGTTAGAAAAAGATGATTTAACATTAACCACTGATAATTCCCTTAACCCAGCAGTTTTCCTAATAGGGGATCCAAATATAAAGAGATAGCACACATGTTTAGATTTAACTGATTACCATACAAAGGTCTGACCAGACCTAGGAGAAACTCCCTTCAGGATGGGATGACACTTATTTATAGATGGTTGCTCCCAGGTGATTGAGGCAAAAAGATGCAATGGGTATTCAGTAATTGATAGGGAAACTCTTGAAGAAATTGAGGCAGGAAAATTGCCTAAGTATTGGTCTGCCCAAACTTGTGAGCTGTTTGCACTCAGCTGAGCCTTAAAGTACTTGCAGAACCAGGAAGTAGCCATCTATACCAATTCTAAGTATGCCTTTGGAGTGGCTCATACATTTGGAAAAATTTAGACTGAATGAGGTCTCATTAATAGTAAACGTCAAGATCTTGTTCATAAGGATCTAATCACCTAAGTATTGAATAACCTTCAGTTGCCAGAAGAAATAGTGATTGTCCATGTCCCCAGACACTAGAAAAGTCTTTCTTTTGACAGTCCAGGAAATAGCCTAGCAGATTACATAGGCAAACAGGCTGCCATTTCTTTTAAAACATCTATTTTTCACTGAACTCTTTACCTTCCTCCTCCTACCATAATCTCCATTTTCTCTTCCACGGAAAAGAGAAACTAATAAAAATAGGTGCTAAAGAGAATTCAGAATAAAAATGAATATTGTCAGACCAGAGGGAAATGTTGTTCAAACCCTTTATGAGGGAAAACTTGTCCCAACTGCATCAAGGGACCCACTGGGGGTCCCAAGCCATGTGTGACACAGTTCTGAAAGTTTTTGGGTGTATAGGAATTTATACTCTGGCCAAACAGGTTACAGACAGTTGCTTAGTATGTAAGAAAACTAATAAACAAACTATAAAAAGATTACCCCTTGGGAGAAGGAGTCCAGACTTAAAGTATCCTGATTGATTACACAGAGATGCCTCCAATAGGTCGTCTAAAATATTTACTAGTGACAGTAGATCACCTTACTCACTGGGTCAAAGCTATTCCCTTTTCAAACGTGATGGCAAATGATGTAGTTAAGGCCTTAATTGAAAATATATTGCCCAGGTTTAGGCTAATAGAAAACATTGACTCAGAAAATGGAACCCATTTTGCCTGAAACTATTATATTTGATCCTTGCCTTGTTATACCTTGTGGAGACTTGTCAAGTTGAAGACAGCTCTCCACTTCAGAAAAGTACCTCTGTACTTCCTGGCTCTCCTCAGACTGGACATTAGGGAATTTGGATCATTTAGTCTGCGAAAGTTTCAATGAAGACCCCAGTGTCAACTGGGAGTCTTGCCCCCTTGACACAGAGCTTTTATGACATAGTTGGTCCAACTACGTGCAAGTGAGAGCAAGGATGGACTGCCCCAACCAGTAGTTGTAATTCCTAAAACCATACATTCATTTTACTAAAGATATAGCTCCCCCTAACTTTCAGGTAAACTAGTGCGATCCAATACAGGTTATTATTTCAAACCCTCAAAGTTCTTCCCCTTCTCTAAGCCAATTCCCTTCTTTAAGCTGGTTTTATGATATGGGGTCTGAGTTTTCAGAAACAGATCCTATTGGATCTTTTGGAATATGCTTCATTGCTCCCCTACTGCCTACAGCTTCCCCTAAGTCTTCTTCCAAAAACTCTCACAATGAAACTGTTGTTCCTCCTCCATCTAATGAGAAGACCAAGGTAGCTATTGTATAAGTTAAAGACCTAAAACAAACTTTGGCAACTGAGACAAGATATCAAGATGTGAATGCCTGGTTGGAATGCATCAAATACTCCGTTCGCACTTTAAACAAAGGCAATTGTCACGCTTGTGCACACAGCACACCAGAGGCCCAGATTGTCCCCTTTCCACTAGGTTGGTCCTTCAGTCGACCAGGCATGGTCTGTATGGTAGCTCTTTTCCAGGGTTCCACAGCCTGGGGTAACAAGTCATGTAAATCTCTCTCTCTGCTATATCCCAAAGTTCAACACCCTGCAGGTCAGCCTCCAAGGGCCATCCAGCTTCCGTCTCCCGACACTAAGTTCACTTCATGTCTCTCACAACAAGGAGGAAACTTAGCATTGTTTGGAGGCCTAAAAGGATGCAGTAAGCTTAAGACTTTCCAAGAGCTTACCAATCAGTCATCCCTTCTACACCCCTGAGCAGATGTATGGTGGTATTGTGGTGGACCTTTACTGGACACTCTGCCAAGTAATTGGAGCAGCCCTCGTGCTCTAGTCCTGTTGGCTATACTTTTCACTCTGGCATTTCATCAACCAGAAAAAGGGAAAACACAACATTGTAAAGCAAGGGAAGTCCCTTACAGGTCTTTTGACTCCCACATTTATTTAGATGCTATTGGAATCCCATGAGGAGTACCAGATACATTTAAGCCTAAGATCAAATAGCTACAGGATTTGAATCAATATTTTGGTGGGTGACAATAAAAATGTAGATTTGATGAATTACATCTATAATAATCAACAGTGGTTTATTAATTCCACCAGGGATGTTGTCAAAGGAATAGCAGAACAATTGAGGCCAACTAGCCAGACGGCCTGGGAAAACAGAATGGCCCTGGATATGATATTAGCTGAAAAAGGTGGTGTTTGTGTTATGATTAAGACTCAGTGATACACCTTTATCCATTGGGGGCAAACAACACTGCCCCCAATGGGAGCATAACAAGGGCCCTACAAGGATTTACCACTTTATCCAATGAATTAGCTAAAAATTCTGGGGTCAATAACCCTTTCTCCAGATGGCTAGAAAGGTGTTTCAGTAAATGGAAAGAAATCATAGCCTCAATTCTTACTTCTCTTACAGAAGTAACGGCTGTACTCATTCTTGTTGGGTGTTGTGTCATACCATGCATCCATGGGCTAGTGCAAAGGCTTATAGAAACAACACTTTCTAAAACCTCCCTTAGCTGTCCTCCACCTTATTCAGATAGGCTTTTCTTCTTAGAGGATCAAGTTGA
Source organism: Homo sapiens (assembly GCF_000001405.40). Taxonomy (NCBI): domain Eukaryota; kingdom Metazoa; phylum Chordata; class Mammalia; order Primates; family Hominidae; genus Homo; species Homo sapiens. The sequence continues at coordinate 15,308,651 of NC_000018.10, read as the reverse complement.
AAAAAAAAAAAAAAGCCAAGACATGTTAAAAAGGTTTGAAGAGGAAGGGCTATAAAAATTGAAAGAGGGAATTGTAGAATACAGTGAATTCCTCTTCAAAGGTTTTAGCCTGTTAATGTCCTTTAAAATTCAAGAGAGGGAAGATTGTTAAGCACAGTGAGTTCTGAGTTCCTCTTCAAAGAACAAATATGTCAATATGTTCAGCTTCTCTATTCTTTGTTCTCCATTTTAAAGTTTAACTTCCTCATTATTTATGCCTCCTTGACCCTAGTTTCAGTAAACGACCCCCTCCTAGTCCCTATCACCTACTCTGTCCTTAGTCATTCTTAGTCACCTGCTCTGTCCTTAGTCATCCTTAGTCGCCCGCTCTGTAACCATCCTTCCTGCAGAAACTACCCACCCTGCCACTCTGGCTTGCACCCCTGTCCTCTTTGAAGTAGCCAGTCAAAATTAGCTTAGAGTGTGCAGTCCAACCCTAGCCAATAGGGGAGAGACACAAAAGTAGGGACTAGCTGCATTAGGAATAAGAACCCTTTCCCCTCTCTTATCCAGTATGCTCTTGCCATTGCTCCATCCGCAAGACTCACCCTTCTATAGAAGTAAATTTGCCTTGCTGGAGTGTTAACTTGTTGCTGGAGTGCTAACTCTTCTTTGTGTCATCAAAAAGTTATTTCCAACATGAAGCTGCACCCTTGGTGGAGGGAACATCTGACGAAGTTCAATGTTTGGGGAAAGCAATATCTGGAAAGATTGAACAGTCAGCAGGAGAAACACCTAGGAAAATTACAAGGCCTGTGAAAGAAACATCTGAGAAATTTGCATGGCCACAAGAAAGACCTTCAAAGACCACACAGGAGGAAAAAGAAACATCTGTAAAGACTGAATGAGTGGCAGGAGTAACATCTAATAAAATTGAAGTTTTGGAAGAAGGAACATCTAAGATGATCACATGTCCTACAAAAAAACAGCTACAAAAGCAAGTACAAATGGTAAGATGCTTGAGTGAACTTTGTAGAGTTTATTGGCACTTAGGGTTCCCTAATGGAAATAGTGTGGTATGGGAGTAGTCAGGAATGGCTTGAATGTCTAGATAACGCAAGCTTAGGTAACACATTTCAATAGTGTAGAAATGAGTAGATCTTATTCTGTAGGCCCTGGAAAAATTCCCAAAATAGTTCTGGCTGTAAATAATAGATGAACTAACTAACAATTGCTAAAACCATAGAAACCAAAGTTGTTTTGGTGGTACAGGGATGTTATAGGATCTCACTCCCCACCCCATTATTAGTTGTGCTATTGGCAGTGTTTTGTTCATGTTTCCTTTCTTGGTTGGCTAATTAGCAACAGCTCCAATCATCATGCTATCTGAAAACAATATCTGAAGGCTGGGAGGGCTGCTTTTGTTCACATTTTTTTTTTTAAATAGGAAGAAAACTTGGAAGCTTTCAGTAATCTTTCTGTAACATTTTATTGGCTGGATTATATCATATGCTTATTTCTATACCAATCACTAGGAAAGCAAATGTAATTACTGTGATTAGCTTACAATAATGATTTTTCTTTTAAGATGGGATGGGGGTAATGGAATAATAAATATCTAAATGAGCATGTGTTTCTGCAGCAATAAAGAATAAATAATGACTATGCATAGGAAGCCAGCAATGTTTTCTGCAGGAATTCAGTGGAAAAGTTTGAGCAGGGGAGTCACAAGATTAGATTTGAGTATCAGGGCATTCTTGTCATGGTATAAAGCAGAGATTGGCAAACTTTTCCTGTAAAGTGCCAGATAGCGAATATGTTGGGCCATGTAGTCTCTATTACAGCTATTCAACTCTGCCATTGTAGAGTGAAAGGAGTCATAGATAATGTATGGGCAAAGAGGCATGATTGTACTCCAATAAAAGTTTGTATAAAAAACCATTTAGAAAGCTGAATTTGGCCTGTGGCCTATAGTTTCTGGCCCTTTATATAGAAGATAGATGGAGGATAATCACATAAAAAGATTGAAAGATTAAGCTTTTGTAGTAGTTCATGTGATAGTCTTTTTTTTTTTTTGTAACCAATCTGTGGCCTAGTATCAATCTATTATGAAAGTTTGATCCATCAAGGGTAAAATGAATAAAGTTCAGAAGCTCAATTTACACATTTAAACATGTAGGTCCTTCTTTGGCATTATTTTATTTTGATTAATTTTTTTAACTTAAAAAATAAGAACAGTAATTTGTAGGGTTTCTTTTTCCCTGTGAAAGCCATCAGTTAAGGGGCCACGTTTAACAAGGAAATATAAATATAAAATAAATAAGTTTGTATTTCCAGTGGCACTGGAAAGATAAAGCAAAGGCAGAAAAGAGGTACAGTTAATATGGCTTAGTGATAATTGAGTTTAAAAAGCTAGGGACAGATAAAATCTCAGGTCATTCATAAGTTTTCAGATTGTGCACAAGCATTTACAATGCTCATGGGGAAGGAGTAGGAATTTGTCAGGTTAACAGGGAAGTGCAAACAGTCATGGGACAGACCAACAGTTTTCTTTACATATTGAGTTCAATGAAACATTCATGAGGGATACTTTCAGTAGGTAATCGGATTATATGCATTTCTAGCTGGAGATAGAACTCTGGTTGAAGATGCAGGCTTAGAATACCTTTATTATAATTATTAGGCAAAGGCATAGATCTCAATGAGCTTATCCATGAGGCAGAAGATGTAGAATAAAAAGAAAGCCATTGACAAAACCCTGGGAATATCAACATTTCACAAGAGTCAAAGGACTTGGTAAAGGAGACTGAGCAGTGGTTAAACAAATGTAGGAGAGGAGTCTGAGAAAGTGATGTTGCAAATTTCTTTTAAATGTGAGAATTTCAAGCAGTAAAATTACTCAAAAGGCTACTGGATTTAACTTACAAGTTCTTCCGTGGTAATCTGTTCAAAAGAATTATTTTGGTTGTTAGGTATACTGTTGATGTGGTTGATAATTCTGGTATCCAAGAAGAAATCTCCCAAGATCCTACCTAACTTTTTGTAACTAAAGCGGCATACATACACAGGTAGTGGGAAAATGTCTAGAGTGGTGAGTACACATGCCAACATTTTTCCAGAATTTTCTGCCTCCTTATTATACCACTTGAGTAAGGGGTTTAGAAATTTTAGGCTATACTTGGGAATTTGTCTATTTCTTTTGCAGTTCTATCAATTTTTGTATCATGTATTTTGAAGCATTTATGTTATTATATACATAAATATTTAGGACTGTTATGTTTTCTTGATTAATTGAACCATTTGTCACTATGAAATGACCTTGTTTATTTCTGGTAATATTTTTGCTATGAAATGTACTTTGGTATTAATACAACCACTCTTCCTCAGCCTTCTTTTGTAGTGTTAGTGTGATATATCTTGTTTCATCTTTTAACCAATTTTTGTCTTTATATTTAAAGTTTATTTCTTATACTCATTATACAGATAAGACTTGCTCTTTTATCCATTCTGATAATCTGCCTTTGAGCAGAGGTTTTTAGATCAGTTTAATTTATAATGTAATTATTGATATGATTAGAGTTGTCTGTCATCACACTGTTTGATTTCTATTAGTCTCAGATCTTCTTTGCTTTGCTTTTTTCCTTTTTCTGCTTCCTTCAGACTAGTTTAGTAATTTTTATGATTTAGTTACATATCTGTATATGCATAACTTTTTTAGTTATTAATCTAGTTTTACATTTCTTTACAATTTAGTCATATCTTTTTTGGTATAAGTTTATTTGGTATTAGGTATAACTCTTTGCTGTCTTAGTAGTTGCTTTAGGATTTATAATGTATGAATTTACCTCATCACAATCCACCTTCAAGTAATATTATATCATATCATAGATGGTATAAGAAATAACAATCATATTTTCATTTCTTTTCTATCAACCAGATCCCAGCCTAGATCTGTGGGATTATGGCTTTCGTTAAGTTTAGAACATATTTAGCCAATTTTTCCTCAAATTTTTGATTCTGCCTCTCCTCCTACCTCTTTGGGGACTTATATACTACCTGCTGGAAGTTTGCTCATAGTTCACTAGTGTCTCAAATTTGTAAATATTTTCTTTCATGATGGCAAATTAATCTATGCTCATATCTACTCAGTGTAGCTTTCATCTCCAGCATTGTAATTTGTATCTCTAAAAGTGCAATTTGGTTTTTAAAAGTATCTTCTGTTACTTTATTTATTTTCTTGATTTTTATAGTAGAATAGAGTTGAGTTACTTATAAACAGCTTGATCCTTTTCATTTTTCTTTTTATGGTGTGAGCTAACTCCCCATACCTGAGACAAGGCCTTTCTGAGTATTCATTTTCCTGTGAAGTCTGAGTTTTCCCAGGCAAATCTATAAAAACAGACACTCTTCTTGGCACTGTATGAGTACCAGGTGTGATTTCCTCTAATTTTATAAGCCAACCCCCACCCCCACCCGGTTTGTTCTTAGGTAGTTTTCTATCTCCCATGCAATTTTCAAAATTTTGCTAAATACTGACAGGGGGTTTCTTGCCGTTGCTTCTGTATCTCTCTCTCCTCCTCAGTGTTTGTTCTGTAATATCTGCCTGCTTTGGTTTTACCAGACTCTAAGCTTCATCAGTGTAACCAAGAGAGTCTGGTAGATCCCACCTCAGTTTTTTCTTCCTGTGTCATGTCTCGGAATCTCTGCCAAGACAGGAAGCTGAAACATCCATAAGGTTTGCTTTCTTTCGTTTTTTTATTTTCTGTTTTTCAGGGATTATTATCTTCTTTGCCTAATGTCCAGTATCTGAAAAATTGTTTAATTTATTTTGTGTGTTTTGATTTTAGTTATTTTAGCTAAGAAGAAAAATCATACCTGTTGCTCTCCCTTGGCTAGAGGAAGACTACACTAGAGTTTCAGCACATGCCACAGACTGGCTAAAATTCTTTCCTTCCCTGTTTGCTCAACTGCTTCCTTTTCATTCTTCATTCCTCAGTGTAGCTATACATCCCTTGGGGGAATTTTCCATGAGCCTAGTATAGATCTAAATCTTAGCAATCTGTTTCTTACAGTATTTATCTGAATTTATAACTGTCACTTTTCTGGGGCTTTGTCTTTTAGCACATTTTAAGTTAAACAAATGCAGAGGTTTTTGTTTTTTTCTGTTTAATCTGCAGAGCTTAGTATAATGCCTTCCACGTGGCAGGCAATCAATATATATTTGATCAGTGTATGAATTAGTGATTGTTAAAATATGCAGTTCTCTATATCCCAAAAGTACTAATATATTTTATTTCTATCTCCTCCTTGAGACAGATTCAACTAGCCTATCAAAAATCTTGGATGCAGTTATTTCTTGTGAAAGAGCAAGGGAACTTAAAAAATATCCCTGTGGGCCAGGCGCCATGGCTCACGCCTGTAATCTCATCACTTTGGGAGGCCAAGGCGGGCAGATCATGAGGTCAGGAGATCAAGACCATCCTGGCTAACACAGCGAAACCCCGTCTCTACTAAAAATACAAAAAAAAAAAAAAATTAGCCAGGCGTGGTGGCAGGTGACTGTAGTCCCAGCTACTCGGGAGGCTGAGGCAGGAGAATGGCATGAACCCGGGAGGCAGAGCTTGCAGTGAGTGGAGATCGCACCACTGCACTCCAGCCTAGGCAACAGAGCAAGACTCCGTCAAAAAAAAAAAAAAAGAAAAAAAAATCCCTGTGAACAACTTACAGCAAAAATGAAACAAATGAAAAATAAGCTTCGTGTACTACAGAAGGAACTAACAGAAGCAAAAGAAATAAAATCATAGAGAATCAAAAACTTAAAAGAGAACAAGAGCTCTGCAGTGTGAGGTATGACATACTAGTATATAGGATACTTTTTGTACTAGCTGACATACCTTCTGAGGTTTAACTGGAGAAAGAAATCTCTGCCTTGTAGAGTGTCAAATTCAACTAAACAATACAATTTCTTAACTGTGAATACATCTCCTGTTAATTAAATGCATATTTATTTAAATCACAATTTTAATGGCTGCATAGAAGGCCATTATTTGGAAATCCCATTATTACTTAACAAATTAATTTTTTATTTTTAATTTTTTGTGTTATAATAAGTGCTGCAAGGCATAACTGCATGTAAATCTTTTTCTATCATTCTAATTATTGACTTGGAATAAATTCTTCACTATAAAAATATTTGCTTAAATTATAGGTTCCTCTACCCCCAATAATCATTTTCCTTTAATTATACACTTGTAATGTTAATATGCATGGAGTATAAAGAAAAATATAGAGTAATTTATGACTAGTATATTCAACATCTCTCTCTCTCCTACATAAATAAAATTAATTCAGGGTTATGCTTATTATTTTTATATTTTAATTAAATATATTCTGTGTTATTCTAAAAGAGATTTAAAATTTGTTGATAAAATGTATAATAATCAACAAGATACATTTAAAGTATTACTAAAAAAAGAAACAAAACATATATGGGATAACAGATATTAGATTTTTCAGCCTAGTCTCAGATTTTAATATTATAATTGTTTTTAAGGATACTTGCCTTATTTTATAAAGATGAATATTTATGTCTAATGAATATGTAAACTTGTTTATAAAAAGTAACGTCATTTTAATTAGTTAACTCTAAATGATCTGTCCTTATTGAGGAGTAATTTTGACTGTTATATTTTTAAAATAATAATTTTCAACTTATAATTTTACTGGATAACTTCCAGTATTCTTTTCCATAACTGTTGTTGAAGTTACTAGTAACAGAATCTTTCTAACTAGAAGGTGTTCTTTCTCATTATTTTTCAAGTATGTGCATCATTTGGAAGAGAGTTCAGTAATAAATTAAATACCTCAGAACTAGAAAGAAAAAACATATTCAAGAATATAGAAATTTTATTGGAATAATAAACCAATATACAAAGAAGTAGATCTCAAAGTGAATTCTATTTTCTAACAAAATGAATTTTAAGATAAGTATATTTAATGGCAGATTGACTTTAAACCAAGAAGAAGAGAAGAAATGCCAATATATTAAATGAAAAAATTAGGGAAGAATTAGGAAAAATCGAAGAGCAACAAAAGAAAAAGTTAGAAGTGAAGCAACTTGAACTCACTCTCCGAATATACAAAATATGGAATTGAAGACTGTAAGAAGTAATTTGAATCAGCTCAATCAATCGCTGGTAAAAATTTTATATTTCTAACTTTATTTCATCAATATTACTTTTAATATCCCTTCGATTTAGTATGTATTATTCAGAATTATGATAATGCCACTATAATATTTAGGTACAAACTTTTGTATATTTCATTCATAAGTTTTCATTTCTTTCGGGTATGTACCTAAGAATGGAATTGCTGGGTCATAAGTTACCTATGCATAACCTTTTCAGCAATCACCTCAGTTTTCCAATGTGTGCACTATTTTACTTTCCCACCAGCGATGTATGAAAGATCTAATTTCTCTACGGCCTCACCAGGGTGGAGTGCAGTGGCGCACTCTCAGCTCACTGCAAGCTCCACCTCCCGGGTTCACGCCATCCTCCTGCCTCAGCCTCCCGAGTAGCTGGGACTACGGGCGCCTGCCACCACGCCCGGCTAATTTTTTGTATTTTTTAGTAGAGATGGGGTTTCACCATGTTAGCCAGGATGGTCTTGATCTCCTGACCTCGTGATCCGCCCGCCTCAGCCTCCCAAAGTGCTGGGATTACAGGCGTGAGCCACCGTGCCCAACCATTTGTCATTTTTTATTGTGGGTACACTAGTGGATGTTAAGTGATATCTGCTTGTGGTTTTGATTTTGCATTTTCTTGATGGCTTGTGATGTTAGGCTTTTCTTCAAGTACTTATTGGACGCTCTTATATCTTCTTCACAAAAATGTCTATTTAAATATTTTGCCTATTTTTATGTATTTTTTCTTTTTGTTGTTGAGTTGTAAAAGTTATTTGTGCATTTTGGATACAGATTTCTAATCAAATATATAAGTTGCAAACATTTTCTCCACTTTTCTGGTTGTCGTTTTATTTTCTTTGTTACATCCTTTGAAACACAAATGTTTCTAATTTTGATGAAGCCCAGTACATTTTCTTTTATCACTGTGCTTTTGGTGCCATATCTAAGAAACTACTGCCAAATCAAAGGCCATAAAGATTTATTGTTATTTTTTATTCTAAGAGTTTTATAGTTTTGCAATTCAGAAACATAAAATCAAATACTGCATGTTCTTACTTAAAAATGGGAAATAAATAATGTGTACACATAAACAAAGAGTGTAAAATGATAAGACACTGTAGACTCAGAAGGGTGAGAGGGTGGGAGGGGTAAGGGTGATGAGAAATTACTTAGTGGATACAGTGTACATTGTTCCAGTGATAAACACACTAAAAGCTCAGACTTCACTCCTACCCCATATACCCATGTAACAAAATTGCACTTGCAATCCTTAAATTTATACAATTTTAAAAAATGGTTTTAGAGTTTTGGTTCTGTGATTAATTTTATAATGTTTTATTGTGGTAAAGCACATATAATAAGCTTTGCCATTTTAAACATAAAAGTCAGAGGCATTAATTACATTCAGAATGTTTTGCAATCATCAAAACTATGTATTTCCCAAAAAAATTTTCACCCCAAACTGAAACTCTGTACTCATTAAGCAACAACTCCTCATTCTCCCTTTCCTCCCAAGTCCCTGGTAGGAATAAATTTTATGGTATTTTAATTAATTTAAGTGTAAAAAACTAAAAGCAGCTGGTGGCTATCATACTGGACCTCACAGTTCTAACACCACCAGTATCAACCCCTGGACAGATATAACCATTCCTAAGCTGCCTTTACATTTATTATTATTCTATTTATGGTAATCTGTAATCTATACTCCCACAAAGCTGGGCTATTCCTGTAAGAACATATCTTATACCATTTCATTCCCAGCTCTGAATCCTCCAGTGGTTACCTATCACAATTAACAAAGAAATCCAAGCTCTTTACTATGGTCTGTGTTTATCTGCTCCTCAGACGGTGCATTCTCCTTTCCTCCTCCCAGTGCCTGCAGCCTGACTGGACTTTGTAGTGATCTTTGAGCTCATCAAGTGCTGTCTGTATTCAGACTCTGCACAGTGTCTCTTCTCTCTGCCCTCTAGACATTCGCTTAACTTACTCCGTCATACCATTCTTCTAACCTGCTCAAGTGTCATCTCCTCAAAAAGATTGTTCCAGAGCTCCTTATCTAAAGTAGCAGTCGCTGACACCATGAATGTGATTACCCTACCTTATTTTCTTTGTATTATTATACTTTTTATTTAGACAGGGCCGCAATCTGTAACCAAGGCTGGGGTGCAGTGGCACAATCATGGATCACTGCAGCCTCAAACTCTGGGGCTCAAGCAGACCTCCTGTCTCAGCCTCCCAAGTAGCTGGGACCACAGGTGAGCACCACCACACTTGGCTAATGTATTTCTTCATAGCACTTAGTACATCCATCACTTCAGTGTGCAACTGTTTATGCATTTATGTTCTATCTCTGTCACTGTACTGCAAGCTCCATAAAGACAGACCTTCTCTCTCCAGTTCCCATAATACTACCCAGCATAAAATAGGCTGTAAGTAAACATTTATTGAGTACATAAAAGAAGAATCTTATTCATGTCAAGGCTGTAATCTATGTTAGACTCAAAGAGATAGTCTCCTGACTAAATGGAAATGTTTCTTTATTGAAGCATGCCTTTAAAAAAAGTGTTGCACATGGTGGATAAGCTTTTGTATGTGCTGCTGGATTCACTTTGCCAGTCTTTTATTGAGGATGTTCACATCAATGTTCATAAGGGATATTGGCCTGAAATTTTCTGTATTTGTTGAGTCTCTGCCAGGTTTTGGTATCAGGATGATGCTGGCCTCATAAAATGAGTTAGGGAGGAGTCCCTCTTTTACCATTGTTCGGAATAGTTTCAGAAGGAATGGTACCAGCTCTTCTTTATATCTCCAGTATAATTCAGCTATGAATCCATCTGGTCCCGGGCTTTTTTTGGTTGGTAGGCTATTAATTACTGCTTCAATTTCAGAACTTGTTATGGGTCTATTCAGGGATTCTACTTCTTCCTGATTTTGTCGTGGGAGGGGGTATGTGCCAGGAATGTATCCATATTTTCTAGATTTTCAAGTTTATTTGCAGAGAGGCATTTATAGTATTCTCTGAGTGTAATTTGTATTTCTGTGGGATCAATAGTGATACCTCCTTTATCATTCTTTTTTTTTTTTTTTTGAGATGGAGTCTCACTCTGTCACCCAAGCTGGAGCGCAGTGGTGTAATCTTGGCTCACTGCAACCTCCACTTCGGGGCTTCAAGCAATTCTTCTGCCTCAGCCTCCCCAGTAGCTGGGACAGTAGGCACACACCACCACATGCAGCAAATTTTCGTATTTTTAGTAGAGATGGGGTTTCACCATATTGGCCAGGCTGGTCTCAAACTCCTGACCTCGTTATCCACCTGCCTCAGCCTCCCAAAGTGCTGGGATTACAGGCATGAGCCACTGCACCCAGCCCCCTTTATTATTTTTTATTATGTCTACTTGATTCTTCTCTTTTTCCTCTGTCAGTCTAGCTAGTGGTCCATTTATTTTATTAATCTCCTGGATTCACTGATATTTCAAAGGGTTTTTCATGTCTCTATCTCTTTCAGTTCTACTCTGATCTTAGTTATTGCTTGTCTTCTGGTAGCTTCTGAATTTGTTTACTCTTCTCTAGGTTTTTTAATTGTGATATTAGGGGGTCGATTTTTAGATCTTTCCAGCTTTCTGTTGTGGGCATTTAGTGCTATAAATTTCCCTCTTAACACCACTTCAGCTGTGTCTCAGAGATTCTGGTATGTTGTCTCTTTTTTCTCACTGGTTTCAAACAACTTTGTTATTTCTGCCTTAATTTCGTTACTTACCCAGTAGTCATTCAGGGGCAGGTTGTTCAATTTCCATGTAATTGTGTGGTTTTGAGTGAGTTTCCTAATCCTGAGTTCTAATTTGTACATGTACAAATTAGAGTACACCATGGAATATGATGCAGCCATAAAAAAAGCATGAGTTCATGTTCTTTGCAGGAACATGGATGAAACTAGAAGCCATCATTCTCAGCAAACTAACACAGAAACAGAAAACCAAACAGTGCATGTTCTCACTCACAAATGTGAGTTGAATAATGAGAACACATGGACACATGAAGGGGAACCTCACACACAGAGACCTGTCAGGGGTTGGAGGGGAAGAGGAGGGAGAGCATTAGGACAAATACCTCATGCATGTGGGGCTTAAAACTTAGATTACAGGTTGATAGATGGAGTTAACCACCACAGCACATGTATACCTATGTAACAAATCTGTACATTCTGCACATGTATCCCAGAACCTAAAGTAAAATTTTTAAAACAGATATAAATATTGTATACATAAAAAAGACATACAATGTTTATGAATAGAAAGATTTTATATTGTGAATAAGTAATTTCTACTCATTAAATTATGGTTGAATGCAATCCTACTCAAAATCCTATCAGGTAATTTGAAAATTGACAAGCTAATTTAAAATTTTTTTGAAAATTTAAAAGGACAAGAAGAACCAAGAAAGTTCTGAAGAAGAACAGAGCTCAAGAATGTGTACCATCAGATGTTTCCAACTTTATTACAATTAAAATAAGATGGTATTAGCAGGACATACAAATAGAGAAACCAAAAACAAACTTTTACTTATACCATCACCTGATTTATGACAAAGGTGAAACTGCAGTGCAGTGAGGAAATAATAATCTTCTCAATAAATGGTGGTAGATAATTTGGATATCAAAATGGGGGAATCAAAGAATTTAGCCCTTATCTTACTTCACAAACAAAAGTCAATCGTAGGTGGGTTATAAAGCTCAATCTGAAACGTTAAAAATTCAAAAAGAAAAGCTTCTGTAACATAGAAGAATACCTTTATGACAACGGGGTAGACAAAAATTTCTTAAGCAAGACTAAATAAGCATTAACTACACAGAAATAGTCTGATAACTTGAACTACATTAAAATTAAGAAATTGGTATTAACGAATTCACCATTAAGAGAAAGAAAAGACAAGTTAAAGTGGGAGAAGATATCTGCAATGTTTATGTCCAATCAAAAATTTATATCCAGAATATATAAAAATCTCCTACAAATCTTCATATATTCTGGATAAAAATTTTTGATTGGGCATAAACCAAAAAAAGTCCAGGACCAGACGGATTCACAGCCGAATTCTACCAGAAGTACAAAGAGGAGCTGGTACCATTCCTTCTGAAACTATTCCAATCAATAGAAAAAGAGGGAATCGTCCCTAACTCATTTTATGAGGCCAGCATCATCCTGATACCAAAGCCTGGCAGAGACACAACAAAAAAAAGAGATTTTTAGACCAATATCCCTGATGAACATCGACGCAAAAATCCTCAATAAAATACTGGCAAACAGAATCCAGCAGCACCTCAAAAAGCTTATCCACAATGATCAAGTGGGCTTCATCCCTGGGATCCAAGGCTGGTTCAACATACGCAAATCAATAAATGTAATCCAGCATATAAACAGAACCAATGATAAAAACCACATGATTATCTCAATAGATGCAGAAAAGGCCTTTGACAAAATTCAACAACGCTTCATGCTAAAAACCTCAATAAATTAGGTATTGATGGGACATATCTCAAAATAATAAGAGCTATTTATGACAAACAACAGCCAATATCATACTGAATGGGCAAAAACCGGAAGCATTCCCTTTGAAATCTGGCACAAGACAGGGATGCCCTCTCTCACCACTCCTATTCAACATAGTGTTGGAAGTTCTGGCCAGGGCAATCAGGCAGGAGAAAGAAATAAAAATTATTCAATTAGGAAAAGAGGAAGTCAAATTGTCCCTGTTTGAAGACGACATGATTGTATATTTAAAAAACCCCATTGTCTCAGCCCAAAATCTTCTTAAGCTGATAAGCAACTTCAGCAAAGTCTCAGGAGACAAAATCAATGTGTAAAAATCACAAGCATTCTTATACACCAATAACAGACAAACAGAGAGCCAAATCATGAGTGAACTCCCGTTCACAATTACTTCAAAGAGAATAAAATACCTAGGAATCCAACCTACAAGGGATGTGAAGGACCTCTTCAAGGAGAACTACAAACCACTGCTCAAGGAAATAAAAGAGGATACAAACAAATGGAAGAATATTCCATGCTCATGGATAGGAAGAATCAATATCATGAAAATGGCCATACTGCCCAAGGTAATTTATAGATTCAATGCCATCCCCATCAAGCTACCAATGACATTCTTCACAGAATTGGGAAAAAACTACTTTAAAGTTCATATGGAACCAAAAAAGAGCCCACATTTCCAAGACAATCCTAAGCCAAAAGAACAAAGCTGGAGGCATCACACTACCTGAGTTCAAACTATACTACAAGGCTACAGTAACTGAAAGAGCATAGTACTGGTACCAAAACAGAGATATAGACCAATGGAACAGAACAGAGCCCTCAGAAATAATGCCACACATCTACAACCATCTGATCTTTGAAAAACCTGACAACAACAAGCAATGGGGAAAGGATTCCCTATTTAATAAATGGTGCTGGGAAAACTGGCTAGCCATATGGAGAAAGCTGAAACTGAATCACTTTCTTACACCTTATACAAAAATTAATTCAAGATGGATTAAAGACTTAAATGTTAGACCTAAAACCATAAAAACCCTAGAAGAAAACCTAGGCAGTACCATTCAGGATATAGGCATGGGTGAGGACTTCATGTCTAAAATACCAAAAGCAATGGCATCAAAAGCCAAAATTGACAAATGGGATCTAATTAAACTAAGGAGCTTCTGGACAGCAAAAGAAACTACCATCAGAGTGAGCAGGCAACCTACAGAATGGGAGAAGATTTTTGCAATCTACTCATCTGACAAAAGGCTAATATCCAGAATCTACAAATGACCCAAACAAATTTACAAGAAAAAAACAAACAACCCCATCACAAAGTGGGTGAACAATATAAACAGACACTTTTCAAAAGAAGACATTTATGCAGCCAACAGACACATGAAAAAATGCTCATCATCACTGGTCATCAGAGAAATGCAAATTAAAACCACAATGAGATACCATCTCACACCAGTTAGAATGGCGGTCATTAAAAAGTCAGGAAACAACAGGTGCTGGAGAGGATGTGGAGAAATAGGAACACTTACACTGTTGGTGGGACTGTAAACTAGTTCAACCATTGTGGAAGAGAGTGCAGTGATTCCTCAAGGATCTAGAACTGGAAATACCATTTGACCCAGCCATCCCATTACTGGGTATATACCCAAAGGATTACAAATCATGCTGCTATAAAGGCACATGCACATGTATGTTTACTGGGGCACTATTACACAATAGCAAAGACTTGGAACCAACAAAAATGTCCATCAATGATAGACTGGATTAAGAAAATGTGGCACATATACACAATGGAATGCTATGCAGCCGTGAAAAATGATGAGTTCATGTCCTTTGTAGGGACGCAGATGAAGCTGGAAACCATCATTCTCAGCAAACTATCGCAAGAATAAAAAACCAAACACCATATGCTCTCTCTCATAGGTGGGAATTGAACAATGAGAACACTTGGACACAGGAAGGGGAACATCACACACCAGGCCCTGTTGTGGGGTGGGGGAAGGGGGGAGGGATAGCAATAGGAGATATACCTAATGTAAATGACGAGTTAACGGGTGCAGCACACCAACATGGCCTATGTATACATATGTAACAAACATGCAAGTTGTGCACATGTACCCTAGAACTTAAAGTATAAAAAAATTATTAAAAGTCATTGAAATGTACACTTTTAAAAACAAAAAAAGAGTTTATTCTATCAGGATTCTTACTAGAGTGCTCTAGAGTATGACATAGGATAGGGAATGTCTTAATAAGCTTCAAAATTCTAGGAATAATGAAACTAGGAAAAAAAGCTTTGAAAAATGCCAGGAATTCAACTGCCTCCCTGGCCTTTCCCTGCCAATCTATGTGCCCCAGCAGCCAACTTACATAGTACTGTGTGCAGGCTTGTAAATAGACCTTCCAGTTCTGCTATAATCAAGACCTTATTGTCCATAACTCAATTTGGAGAAGGTTTAGCTGTCTACCAACTCTTGTGGAGAGTTTCTATGAAGTTTTGTTTTGGGTTGCAAGAATCTGGAAAACAGATGCAGATGTTTTTGAGGAAGATTTTGAAATTTCTACTTATAAGGTACCCAAAATGGGATCCAAACTCTTGAATTTGGTTGATCTTCTGAAATACATACCTGTGTTTTAAGATTTGCTTGAGCAAAACTTTAATCATGGAAATTTTAACCAATGATTTCTGGGTTGAAACAATTCTAGTTTTGTCATTTAAATACCACAGATGAATCTGTTTTAGCACAGAGTACAAATATCTTTTTTCCTTTTGAGCATTTGGAATAGTGTGTTTTGGTAATAAAACATAGCTCTGCATATTAATGAAACATAGCTCTGCATATTTTGTGTGGGGAAAATTAGCATTCTGTGAACAAAGTCAATAATTTCTGGCCTTGCATTAGTTTCCCTACTATAATTAAAACTTAGTTTTGGCCGGGCGCGGTGGCTCACGTCTGTAATCCCAGCACTGTGGGAGGCCAAGCCTGGTGGATCACGGGGCCAGGAGGTCAAGACCATCCTGGCTAACATGGTGAAACCCCGTCTCTACTAAAAATACAAAAAAAAAAAATTAGCCAGGTGTGGTGGCAGTCACCTGTAGTCCCAGCTACTCAGGAGGCTGAGGCAGGAGAATGGCATGAACCTGGGAGGCAGAGATTGCAGCGAGCCGAGATCACGCCACTGCACTCTAGCCTGGATGACAGAGTGAGACTCTGTCAAAAAAAAACAAAAACAAACAAAAAAAAAAAAAGCACTTATTTTTGAAAGTATCTTAGTGTTAAATTTCCAATGCTTCAATATTACAATTAAAAACTTGCTTTACTGAGAGCAGAAACATAATGCAGAAAAGAAAAAAGACCAACAGTCTCTAGATTGCTGGATTTATGTGGATATGATGGGGTTGGTGTTTAACGATTTCTCCCTTGAATCATAGCAAAGATGCTTTTGTGAAGCATAGCTCTTTCATAAATATACTTTCCAACCATTCAGCATTACCTATCTTTAGGTTTCTTTTGCTTTGTGTTTCCGCTCCGATATCACTTCTGGAAAAAAATTACAGTAACAAATTTATTGAGAGCTGGCATTGTGAATGGTGCCTAGGACTTAATTCATAAAGAGAAGGTGAATTTTGCTGAAAGGTGCTTAATACACTGCCCCCCAAATCAAGAGAAACAGGCCATTCTGGGACACACATAGCCTGTCTCACACAGGGGTCAGGAAGCAGGGATATCAGGGAATTGGGACTATGTCTTTATGATAGATATGGTTAGGCTTTGTGTACCCCCATCTCATCTTGAATTGTAATCCCCAGGTGTTAAGGGAGACACCTGGTGGGAAGTGACTGGATCATGGGGGGTGGTTTCCCCCATGCTGTTCTTGTGATACTGAGTAAATTCTCATGAATTTTGATGGTTTTATAAATGGTAGTTTTTTCTGCACACACACACATGTTCTTTCTCCTGCTGTCATGTAAGAAGGTCCAGTTTGCTTCTCCTTTGCCTTTTGCCATGATTGTAAGTTTCCTGAGGCCTCCCCAGCTACGAGTAACTGTGAGTCAATTTAACCTTTTTGCTTTATAAATTACCCAGTCTTGGGAAGATTTTTATTGCAGTGTGAGAATGGACTAATACAGTAAATTCATACTGGTAGAGTTGGGTACTGCTATAAAGATACCTAGCAATGTAAAAGCGACTTTGGGTCTGGAGATGGAGATGAGAAACCTATTAGGAACTAGAACAAAGGTCACTCTTGCTATGCTTAAGCAGAGACTGGCAGCATTTTCCCCCTGCCCTAAAGAGCTGTGGAACTTTGAATTTAGATGATCTGAAATTGAAACTTACATTTAAAAGTGAAGCAGAGCATAAAAGTTTGGAAAAATTTGCAGCCTGATAATGCTATAGAAAAGATAAACCCATTATTTGGGGAAAAATTCAAGCCAGCTGCAAAAATTTGCATAAGCGACAGGAAGCCTAATGTTAATCACCAAGACAATGAGGAAAATGTCTCCAGGGCATGTCAGAGACCTTCACAGAAGCCTTTCCCATCACAGACCAGGAGGCCTAAGAGGAAAAAATGGCTTTGTGTGCAGGGTCCAGACCTTGCTGCTTTGTGCAGCCTTGGTACTTGGTGCCCTGTGTCCCAGCCACTACATCTGTGGCTCAAAGGGGCCAAGGTACAGTTCAGACCATTGCTTCTGTAGGTACAAGCCCCAAGCTTTGTTGGCTTCCATGTGGCGTTGAGCCTGTGAGTGCACAGAAGTCAAGAATTGGGGTTTGGGAACCTCCACCTAGATTTCAGAAGATGTAAGGAAAAGCCTGGATATACAGGCAGAAGTTTGCTGCAGGGGTGGAGCCCTCATGGAGAACCTCTGTTAGGGCAGTGCAGAAAAGAAATGTGAGGTCAGAGCCTTCACACACAGTACCCAATGGGGCACTGCCTAGTGGAACTGTGAGAAGAGAGCCACTGTTCTCCAGATCCCAGAATGGTAGATTAACCAACAGCTTGCACTGTACATCTGGAAAAGCTGCAGACATTCAATGCCAGCCCATGAAAGCAGCTTGGAATGGGGCTGTACCCTGCAAAGGCACAGGGGCAGAACTGCCCAAGACCATGGGAGGCTACTTCTTGCACCAGTGTGACCTGAATGTGAGACATAGAGTCAAAGGAGATTATTTTGGAGCTTTAAAATTCAATGACCACCCTGCTGGATTCTGGACTTGCATGGGGCCTTTAGCCCCTTTGTTTTGTCCAGTTCTCCTATTTGGAATAGGAGCATCCTCATCCAATGCCTGTACCCTCATTGTATCTTAGAAGTAATTAACTTGCTTATGATTTTATAGGCCATGCTAACCAGCATTCAGTTCCAGATTCCAATTTATTCTCAGTGTGCCTGTATAAATTTTCTTTCCATATATATAGAATTAAATTTCTATTACTTATTTGAATGTTATAGAATACTGTTCATATATTTAAAATAAAACCACCAGGTATAATGATTTCTGGCTTAGTATAAAAAATATTTTACCCAGTTAGTGTTATTTACACAGGTGGATGTGGCTCCACAACATTTAGACAAGAAGAATAAATTCAGCTGTCATATGTTGCCATGACTCAGCCTCTGAAGAAATTATGAAAAAATCCAAATTTCAGCAAAATTATATAGTTGTTTTCAGTACCTCTGAAGGTGGTATATCAAGAATTCTCATGCTACTGTTTGAGAAAACAGATTCTGTTGTTACCTAGAAAATCAACTGCATGGCATTTTTATAACCTTACCCCATGTAAAAAACATATATTGAAATGTACTAATAAATGCAGACTACATTACTTGAAAAATGGTAATACAGAATGCCACCTTTAATATTTGAGGATATGAATTTTTGGTAGAAATAATGTAAAATAAAGCTTCTGGTAAGCCTTGGGTAGTTAGATTTACATCAATGTAAAGTAGGATGAAAATCTGTAAAAAATAAAAACAAAGAAACATACAAAACCTAAACCAAAAAAACCCTAACATCCACCAATGCATACATATTGATCTTTGTGCTGGGAAAATCTAAAGCAGAACATTTTGGTTAACTTGATAGTTATTTATTTTGACTATATTGGCATGTTGCTAAAACTGCTTATATTTAATTTGAGTGAAACATGTCCACATTATTAAAAGTGTTGCTTTTTACTATTAATGTTGGATGTAAAGTCTTGATCCTCACCCAGATAAATATGGCAACACTTTCTTCTGCTTCTTTCGAACTGAGGCATTATGAAAGCTCAAATTTGAAGTGAGAGGGACTTAACATCAGAGCCTGAAAAACCAAGAGGAATGAGGTAGGATGGTCAGCTCTGAAGCTCAGGGTGGCCTAGGGAAACTCAATATAATGATGTCAACTATGAAGCTTACTAGGTAAAACTACAAATAGGCTGATCTCATTTCACAGAGGTAAGCCCACACTCCCCTTTCCAAAAAAGTAAAAAACAAAACAAGCAAATAAAACTAAAAATACAAACTTGAAAACACCATGGCTTAAATTTGGTGGGAAGAAGCCTGTGGGACAAAAAATAGTTGTGCCAAAAGAATTGAGTCAGCTGGGTGTGGTGGCTCACGCCTGTAATCCCAGGAGTTTGGGAGGCCGAGGTGGGCAGATCACCTGAGATCAGGAGTTCAAGAACAGCCTGGCCAATATAGTGAAGCCCCATCTCTACTAAAAATACAAAAAATTAGCCAGGCATGGTGGCAGGTGCTGTAATCCCAGCTACTTGGGAGGCTGAGGCAGGAGAATAGTTTCAACCCAAGAGGTGAAGGTTGAAGTGAGCCGAGGTCATGCCATTGCACTCAAGCCTGGGCAACAAGAGAGAAACTCCATCAATTCAAAAAAAAAAGAATTGAGCCAGAATAAAATGTATTTAAGGGTTATTAAGGGGAATGTTTCTAGCACATAAGTATTTGTTCCACTTCTTATTATATTATATTAGTAATATCCTTTCATGTAATATCAGCTTCTCCAAGATAGGCATGTCAAAGACAAACTAAGACAAGTGCCTAATATGTCATAGGCATTTTGTTATCAAATTTAACAAACTTGTAATGATTATATAAATTTTACTGAATTGTGTTTTATGTATAAGCCTCACCTAAAGGCATTATCCAGTACATAAAACCTTCAGTGTTTTCTGGGATTTTCTGTTGCCTGATTTCAAGTCAACCTTATTGAAATTCTAGCAATTTCTCCAGTCCCAGATGTAAAAATAAAAAAGCAGAAATAAAGCCAAATTATCCCCAAAAGGATACGCATTATACATATAGAACAAATGAACCCAAAACCACATAAGGTAAACAACAAATCTACTGGTTCAAAATTCAACCTAACTTCAACAGTACCAGGCAAAAACCATTTGTAAAAATTACCAAAGTCAATATAGAAACCCTTAGTCTATTATGCCAATAAATATGGGGGAACCTGCCCTGATAGTCAAGTAGGTTGTTTTCTATTTTCCCTAAGTGTCTGCCAGTTTGAGAAATAAAGGGAGAGAATACAAAAGAGAGAAATTTTAAAGCTGGGCATCCAGGGGAGACATCACATGTCAGTAGGTTCCATGATGCCCCCCAAGACACAAAACCAGCAAGTTTTTATTAGGGACTTTCAAAAGGGGAGGGAGTGTATGAATAGGGTGTGGGTCACAAAGATCACGTACTTCACAAGGTAATAGAATATCACAAGGCAAACGGAGACAGGGCAAGATCACAGGACCACAGGACCGGGGCAAAATTAAAATTGCTAATGTAGTTTCAGGCACCATTGTTATTGATAACATCTTATCAGGAGACAGGGTTTGAGAGCAACCGGTCTGACCAAAATTTATTAGGCAGGAATTTCCTCTTCCTAATAAGCCTGGGAGCACTGCGGGAGACTGGGGTTTATTTCATCCCTACAGTTTTGACCACAGAAGATGGCCACACCCAAGGAGGCCATTTATAGGCCCACCCTCAGGGGTGCATTCTCTTTCTCAGGGATGTTCCTTGCTGAGAAAAAGAATTCAGTGATATTTCTCCCATTTGCTTTTGAAAGAAGAGAAATATGGCTCTGTTCCACCCAGCTCACCAGTGGACAGAATTTAAGGTTATCTCTCTTATTCCCTAAACAACTGCTGTTATCCTGTTCTTTTTTCAAGGTGCCCAGATTTCATATTGTTCAAACACACATGCTTTACAATCTGTGCAGTTAATGCAATTATCACAGGGTCCTGAGGTGGCATACATCCTCCTCAGCTGACAGGATTAAGAGATTAAAGTAAAGACAGGCATAGGAAATCACAAGGGTATTGATTGGGGAATTGATAAGTGTCCATGAAATCTTCACAATTTGTGTTTAGAGATTGCAGTAAAGACAGGCATAGGAAATTATAAAAGTATTAATTTGGGAAACTAATACATGTCCATAAAATCTTCACGATCCACATTCTTCTGCCATGGCTTCAGCCAGTCCCTCCGTTTGGGTACTGTGACATCCTGCAACAAATAAAAAATTACCATTTAAAAAATACATTAAATATAACAGAACGTATACAATTACAATAAAATATTTTTAAATGATAATCTTATTTTCAAATATTTACCATATTTAGACAAGACTTTTAATGAAAAATACTTATAGCTACAATGTATGAATTAAAATAGCCCTGGAAGAAATAGTAATTCTATACATAATAAAGATTAAGGCAGGGCGCAGTGGCTCACACCTATTATCCCAGCACTTTGGGAGGCCAAGGTGGGCAGATCACCTGAGGTCAGGAGTTCACTACCAGCCTGGCCAAGATGGTGAAACCCCATCTCTACTAAAAATGCAAAAATTAGCCAGGCGTGGTGGCAAGCCTCTGTAATCCCAGCCACTTGGGAGGCTGAGGCAGGAGAATTGCTTGAACCTGGGAGGTGGAGGTTGCAGTGAGCTGAGATTACATCATTGCACTCCAGCCTGGGTGACAAGAGTGGGAATCCATCTAAAAAAAAAGTAAAGCTTCAAGCTTGTGGAATAATTTATCCTGGACACACAGCTAATGTCCCAAATCAAGCTGAGATGTGTTTGATTTTAAAATTCTGCTTTTTCCACTGTGGACAATGTTGATGTAACAGTTAAATCTTGGTCTCAGAGTTGGTGGTTGGGAATAAATCAAGGCAAGCACTTTTATGCTTTGTTTTATATTCTTTATCATCAACATTTTCTTCTCTAATATGTCAGTATTTACATTTGGACCACAGCTGACTTTTACTGAAGTCTACTACAAAACATGGCTAAATTGAAAATTAATGTGATCATAAAATGATTTGTCATGAAAGCAGGTATAGTTTTCTTTTTTTTTTCTTTTATTATTATACTTCAAGTTTTAGGGTACATGTGCACATTGTGCAGGTTAGTTACATATGTATACATGTGCCATGCTGGTGCTCTGCACCCACTAACTTGTCATCTAGCATTAGGTATATCCCCCAATGATATCCCTCCCCCCTCCCCCCACCCCACAACAGTCCCCAGAGTGTGATGTTCCCCTTCCTGTGTCCATGTGATCTCATTGTTCAAGTCCCACCTATGAGTGAGAATATGCGGTGTTTGGTTTTTTGTTCTTGCGACAGTTTACTGAGAATGATGATTTCCAATTTCATCCAAGTCCCTACAAAGGACATGGATACCAAAACAGAGATATAGATCAATGGAACAGAACAGAGCCCTCAGAAATAATGCCGCATATCTACAACTATCTGATCTTTGACAAACCTGACAAAAACAAGCAATGGGGAAAGGATTCCCTATTTAATAAATGGTGCTGGGAAAATTGGCTAGCCATACGTAGAAAGCTGAAAATGGATCCCTTCCTTACACCTTATACAAAAATCAAATCAAGATGGATTAAAGACTTAAATGTTAGACCTAAAACCATAAAAACCCTAGAAGAAAACCTAGGCATTACCATTCAAGACATAGGCATGGGCAAGGACTTCATGTCTAAAACACCAAAAGCAATGGCAACAAAAGACAAAATTGACAAATGGGATCTAATTAAACTAAAGATCTTCTGCACAGCAAAAGAAACTACCATCAGAGTGAAAGCAGGTATATTTTTCAAGTTTCAGCTCAGTCACAAATTTGTATCTATTTGAATTTTTTGAAAATTTCTGACATATACTGAAGTAAATATCAAATGTATTGTTTTATTCAATTGTTTGGATTCAATTAAAAATTAAAAAATAATTTATATTCAAGTTTGTTGTTATATTTACTTTTGACCAAATTTGACTTTCCAAACAGGAAAAGCTAAAGCATTTTTTTCAAAGGTTCAAGGGACTTAAGCTTACTGGCATCAAATATTCTGTAGTAAAACAAACAGGCAAATAAAACCTAATATTTTTATCAATAATAATTTAATAGTTTTATGTCTGAGAACCTAAGAATCAACGACATCAACTCCAGATGATGTCAATTGCATAATTACACTGGTAAGATAGAAAATGATTATCAGAGTCTAACAAATGATGGATATGGCAACCTAACACTTGACAAAACCATTCAGGATGTGTTAGACAAACAAGAAGGTACTACTAATGTAAAGCTTTTTCTTTCTCTAACTTTACTTTTTTTTTTTTTTTTTTTTGAGATGGAGTCTCACTCTGTTGCCCAGGCTGGAGTGCAGTGGTGCAATCTCGGCTCACTGCAAGCTCTGCCTCCCGGGTTCACCCCATTCTCCTGCCTCAGCCTCCCTAGTAGCTGGGACTGCAGGCGCCCGCCATGACGCCTGGCTAATTTTTTGTATTTTTTAGTACAGACTGGCTTTCACCGTGTTAGCCAGGATGGTCTTGATCTCCTGACCTTGTAATCCACCTGCCTCAGCCTCCCAAAGTGCTGGGATTACAGGCCTGAGCCACCGAGCCTGGCACAACTTTACTCTTTATTCTCAACCTTACAACCATCAGATACTCCTGTACACAGAATAAGAAAAATCAACTATTTTTCCTTGAAGGCAATGTTTCATCTTTTATGTTATAATATCTGTTCCACTTTGCTGTGAAAATGCTGTTGAAGTGCACCTTCCTTCCTTCACCAGAGATTGCCTGTGTGAATTTGAATAGATGGTCACTGGAGGGGACCAGCTTGGCACACTGGGTTGAATTGTCTCTTTGCTTTTCAGACAAAGTGGCTTTGAAAAGACTGAAAATAAAGTGACTGCTGATTAAGCAGATGGCTTGCCATGTCAATAGGACAATTGTTTGAAAATCACATCACATGAACTACAACTATTAAAATGTGAGATGCATGATGCAAATATTGCACAAAAAAATAGAATGATGAATACAGCCAAAAAAGACAGCCAAACTCAATTTTAGCAATAAAGTAAAATATAATCTACTGTCAGGGGAAGGTAACTTGAAGTACTTGAGATGTTCTTTAATTTATCCAAAAATATTTTTAGCTTTCGTTACGATAAAACATGTTTAAGCATTTTCCATTTGAAATAAAATTTTAATTTCATGCTTTGTCAGTTTAGTTTCCCTAAATAAATAGAAAATAGTAAAATATCACATACTAAAAAAATCAACTTCTTTGGTAATAAATAAGCGTAACTGTCAGACCAAAACATAGTTACATTTTACCCAATGTTGTGCTGACCAATTCGATCAAACGCCACTTCCTTATAACTAAGAGAGATGCAAAGATGTAGACTTTATGTTGAGTGAGACAGGTAAGGATTACCAAGAGCTAGATAATTGTTTTACTAATCAAGGTCGATTTTCATTGCTATTTTGTCTCTATGTTAATTAATGGTCTTGATTCAAGAAATTTTTTTTTTAAACTCATCTTTTCAGTCAGGCAAAATATTAACAAAAAGGCATGGAAATGAAGGCATTTAACACAGTCATAGTTTACATTTTAAAATTAAAATACTTCTAGAAATAACAAAAAAAGAAAAAAGACACATATAAAAACAAATGAACTTAATTTTTGGTGCAAAGCACTCATTACTAAGCCTAACACAAATATTTTGGTAAAGGCTTTCTAACACTGACATTCTTCTCATGACTTAAAAGAGCCACTAATTTTACTTTTGACATATATTTAGTTTTAATGTTAAAAGCTAAAAGGAGCCTATTATTTTATTTATAATTTGTGGTCTGCATGTACATCATCATCCATTGAGTCGACTAAAGTTTCTGAAAGTTTCAGAAACAGTAACATAAGAATACTTTTTCCGGCCATGCATGTTGTCTCACACCTGTAACCCCAGCACTTTGGGAGGCCGAGGTGGGGGGATCACCTGAAGTCAGGCATTCGAGACCAGCCTGATGAACCTGGTGAAACCCCATCTCTACTAAAAATACAAAATTAGCTGGGCATGGTGGCACATGCCTGTAAACCCAGCTACTCCTTTAATGACCACATGTGAAGTTTCTTTTGAACTAATTTTACCTATTTTTATTGCTTTTTTGCTCCTATTAGAAAAAATATTAAAGTTTCTGTTACTACAAACACAATCTATTCACATCTAAACATAGTGCTTATCTTAAAAGATCTGTATGCTTGGAATTATGGAAATCCTATTCTCCATTTAAAATACTGCTTTTCAGTAAGCCAAATGGGGCAATTGTGGCTCACAATCATAAGTTATTAAATATTAATACCATCATCTAGATGGAACTTTTAGTTATCTGCATGTTCAAATTGTTTTGACTTGTAATAAGTCAGAAACAATAAATTTTTATAAACTATAAAAATAAACTAAAACTATATTTATCAATGCATTTTTTTTAGTTTTAGAATACTTAGCCCCAGGATTATTTCTAGTTGACATAACACTAGATTTCAGATGATGTGGATGTAGAAACTAGAGACATCCTGGTTGACTCTGCTTCACTTTCTGCCTTCATTTAGCACGCAAGCATATCAGCACAATGAAAGCCAGCAATGCTAACCCTTTTTAAAAACACAACAGTGCCCTTCTACAGAGAATATATGTGTGAAAAGATTCATCTGAAAGTCATGCCATCTTCTTTTTGATTTACAGACTTATATATGACAAATAATACAAATAAAAATTTAACACTGCCACATAATCAGAAAATTATTCTAAAAATTCCTTCTGACACATTATTCTTTGTCACCAAAATGGTTGTGATGAAATGATTGCCTTTGCAGGACTGCTGTCTTAAATAACCAATACTCCTGTTTCATTGTTCTTGAACTTTAACCATAACACTTTCATGCTTTTTCTAGAAATTTTATTTCCTTATTATGTCACTTAGGTATGATTATCATAGCTTCATATTTTCAAAAATGGTTCTAAAAAAACTAAACCACAGACCATCTTTGTTTCCCAAAGAGTAATAAGTTAACACTATCATCTAGCATACTGTAAATAGATGAAAAATAAAAATGTAGAGCAGGGGTGTCCAATCTTCTGGCTTCCCTGGGACACACTAGAAGAATTGTCTTGAGCCATACATAAAATACACCAATGATGATAAAAAAAATCACCAAAAACTCATAATGCTTTTAGAAAGTTTATGAACTTGTTTAGGGCTGCACTGAAAGCCATACTGGGCCACATGAAGCCTGTAGGCCGTGAGTTGGACAAGCTTGATGGACAGTCATTTATTTTAGCTGCACACCCAAGACTAAGGCCAAGAGCTTTCAGAGAAAATCGCTTATAGGATGTCAGGAGACCTGTTATAGAAACATTCACCCCTATGTCTAAAGGGGACAAAATTCTATGTCTTCCACCCTTAATTCCAACCATTAAACAAAACTGGAGAAATCTAACATGGCATTATATCACAAAGTATTTTATTATTTTTATTTTGGATTCAAGGATACACGTGCAGATTTGTAACATAGGTATACTGCATGACGTTGAGGTTTGGGCAATTAATAATCCCATTGCCCAAGTAGTGTACATTATACATCACAAGTACTTTTAAACCCTTGTACCCCCTTCTCCCTCCATTTTGGAATCCTTAGTGTTTATTGTTCTCATCTTTGCTTCCATGTGTACCCAATTTTAGCTTCCACTTATAAGTGAGAAAATGTAGTATTTGGTTTTCTGTTCTGTGTTAATTTGCTTAGGATCATGACCTTGAGCTGCATCCATGTTGCTGCAAAGAGTATTACATGATTCTTCTTCAGTGGCTGCATAGTATTGGATGGTGTGTAATTACATAATTTTTAAAATCCATCTTAAAATTTATGAGCACATGGTTTCATTCCATGTCTTTGCTATTGTGACTAGTGCTGCAATAAGCATATGAGTGCAGGTGTAATTTATTTGTATTTGGGTATATGCCCAGTAGTGAGGCTGCTGGGTCAAATGGTAACTTTGGTTTTAGTCCTTTGAGAAACCCCCAAAATGCATTCTACAGGAGCTGAACTAATTTGCATTCCCACTAAGAGTATATCAGGGTTCTCTTTTCTACACAATTTTAACATCTTTTTTTTTTTTTACTTTTTCATGATAGCCATTTAGACTGGGGTGAGATGGTATCACATTGTGGTTTGGATTTACATCTCTCTAATAATTAGAAATGTTGATCAATTTTTCATGTTTGTTGGCTGCTTTTTTTGTCTTTCTTTTAAAAGTATAGGTTCACATTTTTTGTCAACATTTTTTCTTAAATTCCTTATAAAACATATATATTAGTTATTTATTGTATGCAGTTTACACATATTTTAGCCCATACTATAGGTTGTCTGTTTATTTTGTTAATAGTTTCTCTTGCTGTGCAGGTCACAATTTTTAATTTTTATTTTTGTTGCTTTCACTTTTGAGGATGTAGTCATTAATTCTTTACAGAGACCAATGCCAAGGAGAGAATTTTCTAGGTGTTCTTCTAGGATTTTTATAGGTTGAACTCTTACAGATAAGTCTTTAATGTGTCTTGAGTTAATTTTCTATATCATGAGAAGTAGCGGTCGAGTTTTCCTCTTCTGCATATGACTAAACAGTTTTTCCCGCACCTTTTATTGGGTAGGGAGTTCTTTCCATTTGTTTCTGTTGGTGCCGTCAAAAATCAATTAATTGCAAGAGTTCAGCTTCATTTCAGGGCTCTCTCTTCTATTCAATAGGGGTGTGTGTGTGTGTGTATCTGCTTCCATATTATATTGGTTACCGTAGCTTGTGGTAAAGTTTGAAGTTTGGTAACATAATGTCTCCAGGTTTATTCTTTTTGTTTAGTATAGCCTTGGCTATTTGAGCTTTTTTGTTTTCATATAAATTTTAGAATAGTTTTTTTGTCTAATTTTATAAAAAATGGCATTGGTAGATTGATAGAAATAGAAATAAACTGTCAATTGCTTTGGGCAGTATGAACTTTTTAATAATTCTAATCCATTAGCATGAAATACTATTCCATTTATTTGCACTGTGTTTGATTTCTTTCAGTAGTGGTTTGTAGTTCTTCTAGTAGAGATATTTAACCTCCTTTGTTTAATGGATTACTATTTTATTTTTTGTTTCTGGCTATTGTAAACTGGATTGTGTTCTTAATTTTGCTCTGCTTAAGTGTTACTGGTGTATAGAAATGTTTCTCATTTTTGAATGTTGTTTTGCTTTTTGTTGTTGTTGCTGAGATTTTGCTGAAGTCTTTTATTAGGCTTAGGAGTCTTTTCGAGTAGTCTTTGAAGTAGGTAGAAAATTATATCATCAGTAAAGACAGATAAGTTGATTTCCTCTTTTGTTATTTGAGTGCTTTTTCTTTCTTTATCTTGCCTGATTGTTCTGGCTAAAACTTTCAGAACTGTGTTGAATAGGAGTGGTGAAAGTGCACATTCTTTTCTTATTTCAATTTTTAGGAAGGATGCATTAATCTTTCACCTGTTCAGTATGATGTTGGCTGAGGATTTGTCTTATATGGGTGTAATTATTTTGCGGTATGTTCCTTCAATGCCTAGTTTTTTGAGAATTTTTTTCAAAAATAGATATTACATTTTATTAATTGCTATTTCCACATCTATTGAGGTAATGTGGTTTTGTTTGTTAATTATTTTTATATGCTGAATCACATTTATAGATTGCACATGTTAAAACATTCCTGCATTCACAGAATAATGTCCACATAGTTGCAGTGAAATAACTTTGATTTCCTGACTCAGTTTGCAAGCATTTCATGAATAATGTTTGTGTCTGTATTCATCAGGGATATTGGCCTGTAATTTTTTTTGTTGTGTCTTTACCTGATTAATATATCAAGATGAGACTGATATTATATGATAGAATTAATTAAGAAGGAGTCCCACTTTGATTTTTTGGAATACTTTCTGTAGAATTACAGCCAACTCATTTTTGTATACATGATAAAATCATGCTGTGAATGCATCTGGTTTAGCACTTTTTATAATTGGTAGGTTTTTTTTTTATCACCAATTCAATTTGTTTGCACATTTTTGGTTTCTTCAAGACTTCTGTTTATTCCTGATTCAATCTTGGGAGGTTGTATATTTCTAAGAGTTTATTCATTTCCTCTAGACTTTCTAGTTGGTGTGCACAGAGATATTTATAGTAGTCTGCAAGTATCTTTTGTATTTTTGTGGGATTGGATGACACAAATGTAACATTCAAATAGATGCATAATGAAAGTGTAACAATATCTCCTCATAATAAATCTCTTGAACCAGTTATAAAATAAATGCAATTCAAGTTAATGTCATATGTAAAAACGATGCACACCTAACATACTAAATAAGGAAAAACTAAGACTTTTCTCTAAGAGCTAGAACAAGACAAGGATGTCCAATTTCTCCAATCCATTTTTTTTTTTTTGAGACGGAGTCTCACTCTGTTGCCTAGGCTGGAGTGCAGTCGTGCAATTTTGGCTCACTGCAAGCTCTGCCTCCCAGGTTTACACCATTGTCCTCCCTCAGCCTCCTGAGTAGCTGGGACTACAGGTGCCTGCCACCACGCCTGGCTAATTTTTGTATTTTTAGTAGAGACGGGGTTTCATCTTGTTAGCCAGGATTGTCTTGGTCTCCTGACCTCGTGATGCATCCACCTCTGCCTCCCACAGTGCTGGGATTACAGGTGTGAGCCACCACACCCAGCCCAATTTCTTTGATCTTACTGAACATAATACAAAATGACCAAGACAGAAGAATTATTCAATAAAATCAAAGCAATCTTAAATAAAATGAAGAAGATAAATTATATTTTCCTTGCAGATGATATAATCTTAAGTATAGAAAAACCTAGGACTTCACAAAAAATTATTAGAATAAACAAATTTATTAAACTTGCAGGATACAAAATCAATATAAAAAATTCAGTAACATTTCTATACACTAACAATAAAGTATCTGAAAATAAAACCAAAAAACAATCCCATCTACAATAATTGCAGCAGTAACTATGCTTAGAAATGAATGTAACCAAAAGGGTGAAAGATCTGTACATTATAATCTAAAAAAAAAGTTAGAAAATAATATTCAAACAAAAAGATATTCTAATTCATAAATGGGCATGATTAATATTGTTAAATATCTGCATTACACAAACTGATATACAGATATAATAAAACTTCTATTAAAATACCAGTTAAATTCTCCACAGAAATTTTTTTAAAAATCTAAAATGTATATTGCCCCACAAAAGGCCTTAATAGCTAAGAAAATCCAGCAAAAAATGAAAAATAAAAGGCTGAAGGAATCACTCTACCTGACTTTTAAATGTCCAACAAGCTACAGTAATCAAAACAGAGTGTTACTTACATAAAAATGCACACAAAGGCCAACAGAGCAAAAGAGAAAGACCAGAAATAAATTCATGTATTTACAGACAACTGATTGTAAATAAAGATGACAATTTTTTTTAAAAAAAGAGCAGTCTGTTTTATAAATGATATTGAGAAAATATATATCCACATACAAAATAATAAAATCAGACCTTCATCTCACACCATATATAAAAATTAACTCAAATTAGATACTTAAATATGAGACCTGAAAATCTAAAACTAAGATGAGGAAATATAGAATGAATGCCCCATAACATTGGTCTGGGCAGTGACTCTTGGATTTAACCTCAAAATTTTAGGGGAACATAGACAAATCAGATTCCTTAAAATTAAGAAGCTGCTGCACACCAACAGATACAATCAGCAGAATGACATAATTGAAAAATGGAAGAAAATATTTGCAAATTACACATGTGAAAACAGTTAATATCAAAAATGTACAAGAAACTCATAGGACTATACAACAAAAAACAAATAACCATGAAAAATAAGCAAAAGATCTATATAAATAATTTTCAAAGAAAGACATACATATAGCTTGGCAGACAGATGAATATGGCTCAAAGTCAATTATCATCAAGGAACGGCAAACAAAAACAACTCTAACATATAAACTCACTCCTGTTAAAATGTTTAAAAAATTGTTGGTAAACTTGAAAAAAGAGAAAGAGAGGAGCTTTCACACTGTTTGTGTCAATGTAAATAAAAACAGCCATTATGAAAAATAGAAATTTTGCAAAACAATTAAACTCTAACATGTAATTGAACTACTGGATATCTATCACAAAACAAATGAAACTAGATTGATGAACAGACATCTGCAATTGTGTTTGTTGCAGCACACTTTACGGAAGCCAAAACATAGAATCAACATGTGTCCATCATCCAATGATGAAATACAGACACTATGGTATATATATACAATTGAATACTGTATTTTCAACAGAAAATCTTATTTTTAATCACAAAGATAAACCTAAAGGACACTATAGTTGTTGAAATAAGGCACAGAAAGGTTAATATCTCATGATTTCACTCACATGTGGATTCTACAAAACATATCTTGATTACATAATTACAGTTGGATAAGAAAAATAAGTTCAAGAGATTATAATGCATGTATTGTATTTCTGAAAAAATACTGACAGTAAATATTGTCTTCTCACCACAAAAATAGTAACTATGTGAGGCAAAGCATTTGACAATTAGCTAAAATTAGGCATTGACAATGTATATTTACTTCAAAATACTATTTCACAAAATAAATACATATTTCATCTGTGAATTTAAAAATATATTTATAAAAACTATTAAAATGACAATGTTTCAAATTCTGACCTGTGTTTTTGTCATAAACCTGTCTGAATAGTATGAAAGATACATAGTTTCTGTGCTGTTTTGTCACCTAGTCAGTCATGGCCATATGAACTCTAATATTTACCACCATGTTCGGCACCCAGCACAGAGCATTGGAGAAGCCAATGTACCTTAGGGCTTTTATTTTGAGCTTGGGACAACTGGAGTTTCTGGTGCTGGTGGTAATGATAGGGAAGACACAAAAAGGGCAGTTCTTGCTGTGTTTCACATGATTAAACCACTCTGAAGAGAGTAAATAAGTTTGCATCCCAGATCACTGAAGAAATTTTTTAATTCAAAAGATGCCATGATCTTTAAAATTTTTCCAGATAAAATGACCAAGGAGTTGACTAGTTAGGTGACAAAGACTGAAACCTCTAAATTGTAAACTGCAACCAATAAAAAAGTACATTATACAAGTGTGAGAAATTCCTCAAGATTTTAACATTAATATGAAAAAGATTATTTCACATGTGAAATCCACAGTGTCATTCTATTATTTTCGAATGTTTAACATTCACACCAAAATAAAAGATTCTGAATGAAAACTTAAGTTGAGCTGTAAGTATGTAATAAAAAATTAAATTTAACATTCTCCACTTAACATTAACTCTTCTAAAAGTTTAATTTCTAAGACATATCTTCTAACTAATTTTATATTTTCCACACATTGTGTTAATTTTTTTTTTTTTTGAGATGAAGTCTCGCTCTGTCATCAGGCTGGAATGCAGTTGTGCAATCTCAGCTCACTGCAACCTCTGCCTCCTGGGTTCAAGTGATTCTCCTGCCTCAGCCTCCTGAATGGCTAGGTCAACAGGTGCATGCCACCATGCCCAGCTAATTTTTGTATTTTTAGTAGAGATGGGGTTTCACCATATGGGCCAGGAAGGTCTCAACTTCTTGACCTAGTGATTCTCCCACCTCAGCCTCCCGAAGTGCTGGGATTATAGGTGTGAGCCACCACACACAGACTATGTTAAAATTTAATAAAAGTTTGGTTTTACAAAGACAAGAAATTCTGACTGATTTATTCCTCTCACCTGTGAACACTGCATGCCTTTTATCTCAATTAACAGATCTGAAAGTTACATTGACAAACTTTCATCAGAACCTACAAAGTACTGTGTGAAGTGACATGGCACAAAACAAACAGCAATAAAGATGTAGCCATAACACAAAGAATAAAAAAAAGGGCTGTGATGCATACACAGCTGGGATAAACATAAGTAGACACACAAACAAAACTAAAGATAATCAGAAAATAATCAGAATGTCTCTTTAAATTCAGAAAGAGTCAATTTTGCAGCATAAGAACAATGTCCTCTCCATATACAGAATCGATTTTATTTCTTCATCATGTGTATTTCTTTATCTTTACTTGGAGCTACAAACTAACTCCAGCAGAAATATTTGTGGCCAATAATGGTGCATCTATTACACAGCAAGCATTGTGTTTGCTACATTTACATATCAAAATATCTTTATGACTCATGAAGCCTCCCCAGCATTTACCTAAACAAATTGGCTGAATGAATAAATTCACCTATGTCAATTATAAAGAGTAAAAGGAACAATAATAAAGGAAACTTAGCTTACACAGGTTTCTCCAATTAAAATAACAAAATGGGATGTTCTAACTAAATGAAATATAAGTTGGTCGGATGCAGTGGCTCATGCCTGTAATCCCAGCACCTTGGGAGGCCAAGGCAGGTGGACCACCAGGTCAGGAGTTCAAGGCCACTCTGGCCATTATAGTGAAACACAGTCTGTACTAAAAATACAAAAACTTTAGCTGGGCATGGTGGCACATGCCTGTAGTCCCAGCTACTTAGGAGGGTGAGGCAAGAGAATTGCTTGAGCCCAGCAGGTGAGGGTTGTAGTGAGCTGAGATCCCACCACTGCACTCTAGCCTGGGTGACAGAGTGAGACACCACCTCAAAAAAAAAAAAAAAAAGAAAAAAGAAAGCAACAAAAGAAATATAAGTTAATACACTCATTGTGAAATAACATTGAAAAATTATTTTGCGTGCATTAGTAAATTTTATGAAAATTCTTAGAATACCTGAGCAACTCACATAATGAATACTTAATAAATTATAAACACAAAAAAATATGAAAAAAATCAGTCTACCATGAGTACCAGGTACATGAAAGAAAGAATTTGCATGGAAAGATTTGGAAACGCAATCCATAAGACTTCACAGTAATTAATTAAATAAAATACAGAGAATACAGATATTATTCAAAATCATGGAGGTTTCTGGTCTTCTAGTAAATGATTTGTCCACTTTATTAAAGTGATATTTTGTTCCAATATTTCTTGTCTTCTGAAAATAGGTACACTCACACTCACACAATTACTTGCCCCACAAATTTCTTACACCTAATGTTTATATTAAGAGTAAAATATTTATATATTTAGCACCATGTAAGTAAAAAACTAACAGTCTGTATGAGTTTACAGGCAGAGAGGCCACTTGTTCAAAATACATATGACCAAATTTTAAAATATTCATTCAGGACTTAGAAATGTGAGATTTCTTACTATACTACTAGGTAATTATTATTATGACCATAAAAAACCTCTGTAGCAAGTAATAATTTACTTGTACATTTTTAAATAACCAAAAATGTTTAATTGGATTGTCTGTAATACAAAAAATAAATGCATTATGTAATGAATACCTCATTTACTCTGATGTGATTACAAGTTGTATGCCTGTATGAAAATATTCTATATATGCCATAAATAGGTAAACAATACTATGTTCTTACAAAAATTTAAAACGTTAAACAAATGTACATTTTTACCCATTGAAACAATACTCTTAAACTTTTCAGTTTAATGCCACAGGCAAAAGAGATTGCTAGAGAGCTCATTCTACTATGTTACCATCTTTTATCTACATCTTTAATAAGGTGGGACACGTTAAAGTTGGTGACATAACACTTAACTAAATTCAGGTCTTAAAAAGTTTAAAACTATTCCCTTTAATTTAAAAGCTAAGTTATCACAGTCTTATAAAAGAATTTTAAAATTCCCTACATTTTATTACATAAAAGTACAATTGGTAAAACAATTTACTACTAAAACTCAAAGTTTTCCTTTCACTATAATGCAGAATATTACTCTAAACACATAACTCATGTATCACATGAAAAATGTTAAAAGTCAGCCATAAAGAGCCTCTCCAATTAGATTTTCAATATACATCTTACATTTTAATATCCTTACTCTTCCACGGAAAAGTTAATGAATGATGCCTACCTAATAAGAAAGGAATCTCTCAGATTTCTGATGCAACAGAAATTGATGACATGCTTTTACACAAACAACAGGAAAAAAGGAACAGAATGAAGCAATTTTACACTTGAATTACCTCACTATTTGCTTTTCAAAAAATCTACATTTTTTTCAAGGAAAAACGTATACCTTGAATGTAATTATAACTCTCCAAAAAATAATCTTCCACTCCTCTTAAACTTATATACAAATAAATTATCCAACAGTTTTAGCTTTGGATTACTTTCTATACAGAACATTCTGATTTAGTGTAACGTCTTAAGTGCCAGTGCCTTAATTCTTCCTACTGTGAATTTTCTAAAGTTTACAAAGACTTAATTTTGACTAAATATTTTTACACATGTATTCCATCTGCAAAAATATCTTTTATTATAAACTGCATGGTGTTTTTTAAGCTGTAGTTTCTGAACAAATGTTTTTCCACATTTATTACATTTGTATGGTTTCCTTCAACATAAATTCTCTGATGCTGAATAAGTTTGAGTAATTCCTTTAGAGTTTTCTTCTAGCATAAAATCTGTACATTATATAGGGCAAGTAAAGGTGTTACAACCCTCTTTATATTTGTAATGTTTGTCTCCAGAGTACTCTTTTTTAAGGGTTTAAATTTTCCAAGGTCTTTCAAAAGTAATTACATTTATAATAATTTTATTAAGTATGAACTTCCTGATATTGACTATGATGTGAGCAAATAGAAGTGGCTTTTCCACACTCTGTACAATTTTTCAAGTATAAACGCCTTTATGTGCCATAAGGTATAAGCATGTTAGAAGTTTTGACACATTCTTTGTTTGTAGAGATTTTCTCCACTATCAATTATTTTACCTACAGTAAGATGTGACAACCATTTAAAGGCCTTGCCACATTGTTGAGTTTTCTGAGGTTTCTCACTGATATTTCTCCAATGCTTAGGAAAGTTTGAGGTGTATTCATAAGCTTTGCCAAACTTTTTTAGATTCATAGGCATAATCTTTAGTATGAATTATGGCTGGATATATTTGAGCAATACTTAAAAGATTTTGCCACGGTCTTCTGATTTGTATGATTTTTTTCCAGTATGAATTCTCATAAGTTTAGTAAGGCTAAAGGACTGGTTAAAGGCTTTCCCACATTCTTTACATTTGTGGGATTTCTCTTCAGTATGAACTCTCTTATGTCGAGTAAACTTGAGCAACAAGAAAAAGTTTTGCCACATTCTTGACATTTGTAGGGTATCTCTCCAGTATGAACTCTCTTATGTTTAGTAAAGCTTAAGGACCGGTAAAAGGCTTTGCAACATTCTTCACATTTATGGATTCCTCTCCAGTATGAATTCTCTTATGTATAGTGAGGCCTGAAGACTGCTTAAAAAGCTTTGCCACATGCTTCACATTTGTAGGTTTTCTCTCCAGTATGATTTCTCTTATGTTCATTCAGTTTTGAGGAGTGTTTAAAGACTCTGACACATTCTTCACATTTATAGGGTTTCTCTTCAGTATGAATTCTCTGATGTATAGTAAGCTCAGAGGACCACTTAAAAGCTTTGCCATATTCTTCACATTTGTACAGTTTCTCTTCAGTATGAACTATCATATGCTTAGTAAGGCTTGAGGAATAGTAAAAGCCTTTGCCACATTCTTCACATTTGTAGGATTCCTCTCCACTATGACTTATCTAATGTTCATTCAGTTTTGAGGATAGTTTAAAGACTTTGCCACATTCTTCATATCTGTAGGGTTTCTCTCCACTATGAATTATCTTATATACATTAAGGTCTAAAGACTTCTTAAAAGCTTTGCCACATTCTTGACATTTGTAGTGTTTCTCTTCAGCATGAACTATATTATTTTGAATAAGGTTTGAGGAACAGTAAAACGCTTTGCCACATTTTTCACAATTGTATGGTTTCTCTCCAGTATGAATTGTCTTATATATAGTAAGATTTGAAGACCCTTAAAAGCTTTGATGCATTCTTGACATCTTAGTGCTTCTCTCCAGTATGAACTATCATATTCAGTAAAGCTTAAGGACCAGTAAAAGGCTTTACCACATTCTTCACATTTGTAGGGTTTCTCTTCAGTATGAATTCTCTTTTGTATAGTAAGCCCCAAAGACTGCTTACAAGCTTTGCCACATTCTTCACATTTGCAGGGTTTCTCTCCCATATGAATTCTCTTGTGTATAGTAAGGTTTGAAGACCACTTAAAAGCTTTGCCACATTCTTGACATTTGTAGGGTTTCTCTCCCCTATGAATTATCATATGTTTAGTAAAGCTTAAAAACCAATAAAAGGCTTTACCACATTCTTTGAATTTGTAAGGGTTCTCTCCAGTATGAATTCTCTTATGTAGAGTAAGGCCTGAAGGTTGCTTAAAAGCTTTGCCACATTCTTCACATTTGTAGAATTTCTCTCCAGTATGAGCTCTCATATGTTCATTCAGTTTTGAGAATTGTTTAAAGGCTTTGCCACATTCTTCACATTTGTAGGGTTTCTCTCCACTATAAATTCTCTGATGTATAGTAAGGTTCGAAGACCACTTAAAAATTTTGCCACAATCTTTACATTTGTAGGGTTTGTCTCCAGTATGAACTATGTTATGTTGAGTAAGGCCTGAGGAATAGTAAAAAGCTTTGCCACATTCTTCACATTTATAGGGTTTCTCTCAAGTATGAATTCTTTTATGTTCTTTCAGTTTTGAGGATTTTCTAAAGGCTTTGCCACTTTCATCACATTTGTAGGGTTTCTCTCCCATATGAATAATCTTATGTATAGTCAGGTTTGAAGACTACTTCAAAGCTTTGCCACTTTCTTCACACTTGTAGGTTGTATCTCCAATATAAATTTTCTTATGTTTATTCAGTCTTGAAGATTGTTTAAAGGCTTTATCACATTCTTCACACTTGTAGGGTCTCTCTTTAGTATGAATTCTCTCATGTATAGTAAGACCTGAAGACTGCTTAAAATCTTTGCCATATTCTTCACATTGGTAGGGTTTCTCTTCAGTATGAATTATCTGATGTTGTCTTAGGTGTGAGAACCTGTGAAAGAATTGGCCACATTCTTTACATTTGAAAGGTTTCTCTCCAGTATGTCTTCTCCTAAGTCTATTTGAATTTGAAAATTTCCTTAAGACTTTCACAAATGTATTACATTGAAGTATTTTGCTCTGAGTAATCGACAAACATTGGTTAAGTCCATTATAACCTCCTTCCTGCACCTTAGATGCATTCAAACTTTTACAGCCTTTTCTTATTTGTAAATTCTCATGTCTGCATTTCCCATATCTTCTCAGCATCACTTTTTGAAATGAATTTTTTGTGTTCTGATCTAGCCAAAGGTCTTGGGTGAAATGAGAACACAGCTGAAAGAAATTAAAATAACAAATTATCTCACTAGGCCCATGTAAATATACAAATCTATTGTTTACAAATCTAATACATAAAATTATACAAAGTACATTAGCAACATGGCATAACAAAAATACCACAGGTCTTAATTCTTTTATAGACTTATAACAAAACTGTACTGACCAAAATGTCTTTATGGAAAATCTAGAAATGAGTTAAGTGTGTTCAGTGTACCAGGTGAGCAAAATGCCACAAGCCATACTGAATGGATAGAAAAGCTTGTTACATTTGCCCAACACCTTTACTCCTCCATAATGCAGCATGGCACTTTTAGAAGTAAACTGCAATGCCTGGCATCTTCCTCAATATAGAAAAAGAAAAAACTGGCTCATGTATTTTTACTTCTGGCTTCTGGGCACTTTTACAGAGACTTGTTTCTGTCTCCAGTGACAAAATGTGCTGAAAGAAATGATGGTATACTTTGAAATAACAGCTTGAGTCTGCTGAGACCAAAGGTAAATGTTACAGCAACAAACTACAGTACCACAGACATGCAATATGTATAGGAAGTAATTACAGACTGTTAAGAAACACAGACAAACCTCTTTAACTGAATAATCAACACAAAATTCCACACAAGACACATCATAACATATTTGATAGGCTCCCAGAATCTCTAGTTGAGACAACTGGTTTCAGATTATGTTAGGACAACACCACATTATAAAGATTGTGAGAGGTAGCTGTTTGTTAATGTCCAAATCTCAACCAAAGAGTACAATACATACAAAATATTACAGTGACATGGCCTAAGTAAAAAAAAAAAAAAAACTTAAAACTGTCAGAAAACAACCATGAAAATAAAGATGTACACATTAATTTTAAAAATTTAACCTAAATGGGAACACAGGTAACTAAATAAAATCAGAAAAAAATAGAACATCAAGGAAAAGATGAAAAATATAATAGAAATTATGGAAGTAGAAAATAGAAATAGAAATAATGACTGACGCCAGGTGTAGTGGCTCATGTCTGTAGTCCCAGCACTTTGGGAGTTTGAGGCAGGCAGATCACTTGAACCTAGGGAGTTCAAGTTTAAACTGGGAAACATGGCAATACTTCTCCTCTATAAAAATTAAAATTAGTCAGGTGTATTGGCACACACTTGTGGTCCCAGTAAACAGGAGGCTGAGGTAGGAGGATCACATAAGCCTAGGGAACCCAAGGCTGCAGTAAGCTGCAATCATGCCACTGTACTCAAACCTGGGTGACAGAGCAAGACACTGTCTCAAAAAATTAAGAATACCTGAGAAATTCTCAAAAGTAAGAAAATAAGGTTGTAAAAATGAAGAAGCTCAACATACTAAAACTAGGAAACACACAGATCCATAACAAGACATGCAAAGCAAAGTTCCCAAAGTCACAGACAAGAAGAGAATCTCAAATGCTGGAAAATACATAATTATGGTTCTATGATATAACTAGTGACTCTTTCAACAAAAACCTTGCAGGCCAGAAGGAAATTGTGTGCTATAGTCGAGGTGCCAAGCGAAAAATAGCTTCTATGTAAGAATAATATAACCAGCAAAACTGTGCTACAAAAATGAAGAAAAAGGAAAGACCTCTAAAGATAACCAAATGTGGAAAAATTATATCAACACTACACGTGCCCTACAAAAAATGCTGAGAAGAGTCCTCCTACTAAAACTATATGATGCTAAAAAACAAAACTATCATATAAAAATAGGTAGCTTTCTAGGAAAGATATAAAGATATGCAAATATTATAGAAAAAATATCCTGTAGCATTATTATAATACCAAAAAATGTTTTATTTAATTATTCTCTAAAATTTAAAGATAAAAGCTAAAAATAATAATGAACATCTGTTAATAAATATATAACATAAATAGATATGTTTAGTGACATCAATAACTAAGTTGAGGACAGATGTAATAAGAAATAATTTGTGCATGGACCCAAATTTAAATTTCACCACTTCAAAATATATTGTTGAAATTTTAAGAGGTTTTTATATAATCCTGAAGGTGCCCACAAATAAAATGTCTGTATAGGCACAAAAAAGGAAATAAGAAAGAAGTGACAGCCTATCCATACAAAAATCAAAAAGACACAAAGGAAGATAGAATGAGAAACAGACCTATAAGAATCATTAAACAATAAAATAAATAATAATAATCTTTGTCTTCAGAAAATAAATATTTTAAAAATAGACTTGCCAATCAATACACATACATTGAATAGTGGGATTATATAAAATTTTATATACCAAGATCCAACTTGCCTTTCTTCAAGAGTCACTTGAGATCTAGTAGTGAAATCAGCCTGAAAGTGGTAAGTGGAAGAAGACATTTTAGGCAAACATTAACCAAATGAGAGCAGAAGAGATCAAAATTGTATTATACAAAATATATCATAAGTCAACAACTCTCTTATTTTATAAAATATACTCTATGTCAAAATTCACAAGAGAAAAAAGGTCATTAAACAATAATAAAGATATCATTTATTGAAAATGTATGACAAATATGTGCATACATATATTTATATGTTTGTGTGTGTATGTGTATTTCTCACATTAGGTTTCCAAAAATACAAAGCAAAAATTGACAAAATTAAAGCAACAAATAAAGAGCAATATAATTATAATAAGATATTTTAATACTTCAATTTCTGCAATGAACAATAAAACAAAACAATATTAATAATGGAAAAGAGGGCCAGGTATGGTGGCTCACGCCTGTAATCCCAGCACTTTGGGAGGCCAAGGCAGGCGATCACGGGGTCAGGAGATGGAGACCATCCTGGCTAACACGATGAAACCCGGTCTCTACTAAAAATACAAAAAATTAGCAGGGCGTGGTGGCAGGTGCCTGTAATCCCAGGCACTCAGGAGGCTGAGGCAGGAGAATGGCAAGAACCCAGGAGGTGGAGCTTGCAGTGAGACGAGATCCCACCACTGTACTCCAGCCTGGGTGAGAGCAAGACTCTGTCTCAAAAAAAAAAAAAAAAAAGGAAAAGAGAAACTGAAAGCAGTACAGATGGGAACAAGTGGCTCATGCTTGTAATTCCAGCACTTTGGGAGGCCAAGGAAGACAGATTACCTGAGGTAAGGAGTTTGAGACCAGCCTGGCCAACATGGCAAAACCCCATCTCTACTAAAAATAGCCAGGTGCAGTAGCAGGCGCCTGTAATCCCAGCTACTCAGGAGGCTAAGGCAGGAGAATTGCTTGAACCAGGGAGGCGGGGTTTGCAGTGAGTCGAGATTGCGGCACTGCAATCCAGCCTCGGTGACTGAGCAAGACTCCATCTCAAAGAGAAAAAATATACAAAGAAAGAAGTATAAAACAATATTATGCCTAACAAAGAATACCCCTTAACAATAGCAGGGTATAACCATTCTCAATAGTTCACATACATTCTCTTTGATAAACTGCCTGTTAGGCCATGATAAAAATACAAACTTATTAAATCTTTAAAAATTGAAATTGATAGATTACTTTTTATGACCAAAATGGAATGAGAGTAGAAATCAACAAAAACAAAACTAAAAAATTTACAAATACATGAAAATTAAACAACACACTCTTCAGCATGCTCAAAGGGTAAAATAATTAATATTCAGCATGATCAAAGGGTAAAATAATTAATATTGTGAAGATGCCCATACTGCTGAGTGTAATCTACAGATTTAATGCAATCCCTTTCAAATATCTAATTTTATTTTAGCAGAAATAGAAAAAGCAACCCCCAAATTATATGAAATTTTAAGAAACAATGAAACACCCAATAATCTTCAAAGAGAGGTACAACGTTGGAGGCATCACAACTCCCTGATTTCAAAACACATTATATAGACTTAAAACAATTTGGTTTGGTTATAAAAAGTGAACTACACCAAATAAAGAGAATGTAGTATAAATATAAACTCTCACACATATAATCACAGGAAGAGTTATTTGCACGTCCATAATTTTTTTTTTTTAGATGGAGACTCGCTCTGTTGCCCAGGCTGGAGTGCAGTGGCACAATCTAGGCTCACTGCAACCTCTGCCTCCCAGGTTCATGCCATTCTCCTGCCTCAGCCTCCCAAGTAGCTGGGACTGTAGGTGCCCGCCACCACGCTTGGCTAATTTTTTGCTATTTTTAGTGGAGATGGGGTTTCACCGTGTTAGCCAGGATGGTCTCGATCTCTTGACTTTATGATCCACCCACCTTGGCCTCCCAAAGTGCTGTGATTACAGGCATGAGCCACCGTGCCCGGCTGCACATTCATAATTTTTACAGCATTGTTATTGAAAGGCAATAGGTGAAAGCAATGCAAAATTTTCTCCCCAGATTACTGGATAAATATAATTTGAAACATAAAAATAATGGAATATTACTCAGTGTTTAAAAACAGGAAATACAGGCCAGGCACACTGGCTCACACCTGTGATCCCAGCACATTGGGAGGCCGAGGTGGGTGAATCACCTGAGTTTGGGAGTTCGAGACCAGCCTCACCAACATGGAAAAACCCCATCTCTACTTACAAAAATTAGCCGGGCATGGTGGTGCATGCCTGTAATCCCAGCCTCCTCTCAGGAGGCTGAGGAAGGAGAATGGCTTGAACTTGGGAGGTGGAGATTGTGGTGTGCTGAGATCGCTGCACTGAACCCCAGCCTGGGCAACAAGGGCAAAACTCCGTCTAAAAAAAAGGAAATATTCTAACAACCATAACAAACTTTCATGAAATTATGCAGAATAACATATGTCAGCCACAAAAAATATGGTATGAATCCACTTACATGAGATATTTAAAGCAGTTAGACTCAAAAACAGGAAAACAGAACTGTTTGTAAAGGGCCAGAAAATGGGAGAATTGAGTAGTTGTTTAATGTGTATTCAGTTTTAGTTTTACAAGACAAAAACATTCTACAGATATATTGTATAATAATGTCAATATAATTAATATAAACTACATATTTTAAAATTAAGATTCTAAATTTTATGTTCTTGATAATTAAAAGTAAACAGTAATAATACCTTAAAAAAGGGACAAAATTGACAGTTTTTAAAATTACCTTCAAATCAAAAAAGTGTTTCTCCCACACAAAAATAGATTCCCAAATAGATATTAGAAGTAGGAGAATTTTTATGACTACTCAGATAAAACAACCATTGATCACTCACAAACATACAAGTCATAAACAATACAGAAATAATATGTGTATACACAAACACAGAAATTATTATATTGGGAATAGAGATATGACTGATTCATATGTAACTTTGGCTCCACGCTGTCTTAAAGTGTACAGAGTTGAATATTGTCATTCACAATTGTCATAAAAATAAAAACTAAAAACACAATTAACTGATGTGACGTGGCATACTCTAAAATATGAAACAAAAAAGAAATAAAATTGGCTGGGCATGGTGGCTCA
The DNA here is from genome assembly GCF_000001405.40 of Homo sapiens. Taxonomy (NCBI): domain Eukaryota; kingdom Metazoa; phylum Chordata; class Mammalia; order Primates; family Hominidae; genus Homo; species Homo sapiens. The sequence goes on along the minus strand of NC_000018.10, from coordinate 15,264,748 downwards.
TGCCTGTAATCCCAGCACTTTGGGAGGCTGAGGCGGGCGGATCACGAGGTCAGGAGATTGAGACCATCCTGACTAACACGGTGAAACCCCATCTCTACTAAAAAATACAAAAAATTAGCTGGGCATGGTGGCGGGCACCTGTAGCCCCAGCTGCTAGGGAGGCTGAGGCAGGAGAATGGCATGAACCTGGGAGGCAGAGCTTGCAGTGAGCCCAGATCATGCCACTGCACTCCAGTCTGGGCAACAGAGCAAGACTGTGTCTCAAAAAAAATAAAATAAAATAAAGTAAAATGAAATAAAATAAAATTGCAAAACAAAATGAAAACATGGAATGTTAAACTTACTGAACACCATTGAGTAGATTACTACATTTGGAAAAGAAATCTTAGAAGACGAATGTAGGGAAAAAGTAGTTAGAGGGGCTATTTGAAGATAAAAGAGGATGAGAACTTTCCAAATTTTTATGTGATAAAAGAAAAACTAATACCAATCAATACTGTTTGCTTTGAAATTATTTGGAATTATTCTGGAATTAAAAATAAGGAAACAATAAAGAACTTACAAAATAAACAAAGGGTGAAGGTATTTATCACCACAGGCATGGTCCCACAAGAAATGCTACATGGTGGCCAGGCACCAGTGGCTCATGTCTGTAATCCCAGAGTCTTGGGAGGCCAAGGCAGGCAGATTAGTTGAGGCTAAGAGTTCAAGATGAGCCTGAGTAACATAGTGAGATGCTGTTTATTTTTTTATTGCCAAAAAGAGTCCATATGTTGAAAAATATAATGATGCTGAACAACCTTAAAAAACTACATGAAACTATAAACTTTCTGTTAAATGTAAATATATAAACACATATACAATTGTTTACTACCATAATCATTAAGCAAAATCTCTTAAAATTCTGCTATAGAATTTCAACAAAAAATCTGCATAAATCTGTTAATAGATACCCAATATAAAATAATATTTGTAATAATGAAAGACTACAGGATGTAAGCCTGGGCACAATGGCTCATGCCTGTAATCCCAGCACTTTGGGAGGACGAGATGGGTGGATCAAGAAGTCAGGAGTTCAAGACCAGCTTGGCTAAGATGGTGAAACCCCATCTCTACTAAAAATACGAAAAATTAGCCGGTCGTGGGGGTGGGTGTCTGTAATCTCAGCTACTTGAGAGGCTGAGGCAGAGCATTGCTTGAACCGGGGAGGAGGAGGTTGAAGTGAGCCCAGATCACACCACTGCTCTCCAGCCTGGGTGACAGAGCGAGACTCCATCTCAAAAACAAAACAAAACAAACAAACAAAAAACCCACTACAGGATGTAAAGAGGTATAGTTTTTGTATTCAACTGAAGTTATGACATACTAATATTGTTATAACTTTAAAATGTTTTACATAATCTCCAATTACCTAGATAATTACAAGTTTATAGAAAGTATGCAATACAAAATGAGAAAGGAAACAAAGCATAACACTACAAACTGAAAAAAGCAAAAATTAAGACAGTAAAATAGGAAATTATGGAAAACATCTCTACAAGAAACACAGAAAATAATAACAATCAAAATGGTAATAGTAACTTCATTTCTCTATGGAATCATTTTAAATGTAAATTGATTAAACTAATAATAAGAAATTAAATGGCCCAATGGAATAAGAACAAACAAAATCACACAATATGCAACAAATCACACAATATTCTTGTTCGAACATGGTGTACTCTGTTAGGACACATAACAAGCCTTATTAAGTTTAAGAAGACTAATCAGGTGTGGTGGCTCATGCCTGTAGCCCCAGCACTTTGGGAGGCCAGGACTGGAAGATTGCTTGAGACCAGGATTTCAAGAGACTCACTTTAACTTTGAGTCAAATAGGTTGAAAGAAACAGAATGAAAAAACATATTCCATGCAAACAGTATCCACAATTAAGTGAGGTGGTCATAAATTATATTCGACAAAATATGCTGTAAATCAAAAACTAGCATGAGGTAAAGATTGTTACTATATAATGGTAACATTGGTCATTTACCAGGAATCTATAACTATTATATCTATTTAAAAGATCAGGGTTCCAAAATATATAAAGCTAATATTGACAGAAGTGAAGCAAAAAATACATAGCAACATAATAATTACAGACATTAAGACCCCACTTTAATAATGAGTGAAAGTTTAGATAAAACATCAATAAGAGAAGAAAACCTGGATGACATTATAAATTGTATTAATTCATTTTGTATTGCAATAAGTACCTAAGACTGTGTAATTTATAAATAAAAAAGATTTATTTTCTTCATAGTTATGCAAAATGTACAATAAGTGTGGTGCCAGCATCTGCATCTGGTGAGGGTCTAAGTAAGCTTACAATCATGGTGAAGGCAAAGAGAAACCAGACATATTGCATGGGGAGAGAGGGAGCAAGTGTGAAAGGAAAGTGCCAGGTTCTTTAAACACGCAGCTCTCACGTGAATTAACAGAGTGAGAACTTATTGATCACCAAGGGGATGGTGCGAAGTCATTTACAAGAGATTTGCTCCCATGACCCAAACACATCACACAAGGATCCACATCCTACATTGGGAATCCCATTTCAACATGAGATTTGAAGGGTACAAACATCCAAATCATATCATAGGCCAACTACACATTAAAAATATGTACAGGACTCTCCAGTAAAAAGGAACAGATTACACAATATTCTTGTTTGAACTTGGTGCATTCTGTTAGGACACATAACAAGTCTTATTAAGTTTAAGAAGCCTGGCCAGGTGTGGTGGCGCAGGCCTGTAGCCCCCAGCACTTTGGGAGGAAAGACCCCTTGAGACCAGGATTTCAAAACCAGCCTGGGCAATATAGTGAGAACCTGCATTTCTACAAAAAAATCAAAAAACTAGCCAGGCGTGAAAGCACACATATGTAGTCCCAACTACTTGGGATGCTGAGGTGGGAGGATTATTTGAGCCTCGGAGGTTGAGGCTGCAGTGAGCCAAGATTGTACCACTGCACTCCAGCCTGAGTGGCACAGTGAGAATCTGTCTCTCAATAGCAACAAAAATAAATAAATAAATTTAAGATGACCAAAATTATACAGTTATGTTTTCTGACTAAAATAAAATGAAACTAGACATCAAAATCAAGAGATAAACTGGCAAATTCAAAAATATATGGAAATAAAACACACTCTTTAATATATTCTTGCTCAAGGTCCAGATAATTTAATCTAAATGTGAAAACAACTCACGGTGGTGAAGAAATTCCAATGGTACATTGTTGACCAGAAATATTGATTAAAACTTTTTAAATTCACTTTGGGAGGCCGAGGCAGGTGGATCATGAGGTCAGAAGATCGAGACCATCCTGGCTAACAAGGTGAAACCCCGTCTCTACTAAAAATACAAAAAATTAGCCGGGAGCGGTGGCGGGCGCCTGTAGTCCCAGCTACTCGGGAGGCTGAGGCAGGAGAATGGCGTGAACCCGGGAAGCGGAGCTTGCAGTGAGCTGAGATTGCGCCAACTGCAGTCCGCAGTCCGGCCTGGGCGACAGAGCAAGACTCCGTCTCAAAAAAAAAAAAAAAAAAAACCAAAAAACTTTTTAAATTGATTATGAGCTAAAACTATCCAAACACCCATGAGAAAGAACAAAGAGGCATTATATTTCCTGATTTCAAAATACATTAAAAAGCTATAATAAACAAAAGCAATGTGGTACTAACAGAGACAAATAAACAGATGATAGAACAAAATAGCCCAGAAATGAACCCTTCTTTATATAATCAAATAATCTTCCACAAAGTTGCCATGACTACACAATAGAGAAAAGAAAATATCTTCAACAAATGATGCTGAAAACTGAGTATCTACACTGAAAAAAATAAAGTTGGATTATTTTCTTGCACATTTTAAATAAAATAATGAAACTAAAAAGCATATAACTAATACAACTCTTAGAAGAAAAAAATAGGGAAAATACAGAACACTGGTTTTGGCACTTTTTTGTAGATATGACATCATACTTATGAAAAACATAAAAACCCCCAAAATTTAACTGTGCTAAACTTCAAATTTTCTGCACACCAAATAAAATATTTAGTAGAATGACAATGCCACTGAAGAAATGGGTGAAAATATTCGCAAATTACATGTGATGAGTTAATATTCAGAATTATAAACAACTAAAACTGAAAAACTAACAATGAATAAATTGATTTAGAAATGGACAAAGAATTGAACTGATGTTTAATCAAAAATATATATGTAAGTAGAAAAAAGCACTTAAAATGCAAAAAAAAGTACCAATTGTAGAGAAATACAAAACAAAATTACAATCCAAAACAAAACCACCTCATACCCATTAGAATGGCCATGATAAATTTTTAAAATGCTGAATCTGTTGAGGATGTAAAGAAATTAAAACTCATGTGAATTGTTGGTGGGGAAAAAGGATGCAACCATCATATTATGAATGTTTCTTAAAATTTAAATTATATAATTCCACTTATAAACCTAGATTCAAATATAAATCATATTATTTGACTGGAATATAAAATACATTTTTATATATTAATATATATATAAATTGAATCCAAGAATTCCACTTATAAATCTATATTCAAACATAAATATAAATGTATACTCCAAATATAAATCTATATTCAAACAAAGAATGTGGAAGATATATTTGAATATATATTTCAAATATTGGTATAATAAATATACCAATATTTATATATTTAATATATATTAATATAATATATATTAAATATATTATACCAATATTTATATATTTTATATATTAATATAATATATATTAAATAAATATATATTATATAAATAAATTATTTTATATATATTAAAATATAAATATTGGTATATTTATTATACCAATATATTATATATAAATATATACACATATATTTATATATATACTATATATAAATATATTATACCAATATTTACAAAAGCCAAAAAGCAGAAGTAACTCAGATATCCCTTGACTGATAAACAAATTAAAAATGTGACATATACATACAGTGGAATATTATTCAGCCTTAAAATAGTAAATCTGTCACATTCTTACATAAACGTTGAGAATATTATGTCAACTGAAATAAGATAGTAATAAAGTGACAGATACTATATGATTCCATGATATGAGTCATCATAAGTAGTCAAATAGAAACAGAAAGGAGAATGGTGTTACTCAAGGTCTAAAGAGAGGGTAAAATGGGCAGTTGTTACTTAATGGGTATTGTCTTAATTTTAGAAGACGTAAAATTTCTAGAGGTCTTTACATAACAATGTAAATACTCTTAACGACTAAAATGTACACCTTTTTTGAGGTAGGTTCTCACTCTGTCCTGCAGGCTGGAATGAAGTCATATAATCATAGCTCACTGCAGCCTCAACCTCCCATGCACAAGTGATTCTCCTGCCACGGCCTCACAAGGAGCTAGGACCACAGGGGGACAACCCAACACCTGGCTAATTTTAAATTTTTGTGGGGAAGGGCTCTCTATATGCTGCCCAGGCTGGTCTCAAGTTCCTCGGCTTAAGCAATACTTCTGCCTCAGTTTCCCAAAGTACGGGCATTATAAGCATGAGCCTCCACCACACTCAGCACTGAAATATAGACTTAAAAAGCTTTAAGATGGTAAATTTTATGTTATGTGTTTTCACATTTTTTTGGAAAACAACTAAAAGTGATATAGGTCTTTCTATAAATCATAAAATATATAAATATATAAACATAAATCACCTTCAAATCACTAAAGTGTTTCTCTCACACAAAGAAAATATATATATTTATCATTAAACACCTAGTGAATATACCACTGTTTCTATGACTACTCACCTTCACATAATAAGACAACTGTTGAAAATCAGCCAAGAAGGCTGGGCGTGGTGGCTCACTCCTGTAATCCCAGAACTTTGGGAGGCCGAGGCAGGCGGATCACCTGAGGTCAGGAGGTAGAGATCAGCCTGGCCAATATGGTGAAATCCCATCTCTACTAAAAACACAAAAAAATTAGCTGGGCATGGTGGCAGGCACCTATAATCCCAGCTACTCGGGAGGCCGAGGCAGGAGAATTGCTTGAACCTGAGAGGCGGAGGTTGCAGTGAGCAAAGATTGTGCCACTGCACTCCAGCTGGGCCTCTACTGTGGCCTGCAGACCTTGGCCTCTACTGTGGCCGCTGAAGGAGTTCAGTGACTCAGTTTCAGCTGTCTTTGCCACAGTTCACAACAATTCCTGCCAACACAGGAACCCACACAGTGATGTGGAAAAAAACTTCCAAATACTCAGTGGTAGCCACACTTACCACATCCCGATATAAGGTCCACCATATGCACAACCAATTGCAGAAATCTGTCCTAGTTTCTGCACTATAAATAAAAGTCCTGAAGGAAATCCAGCCCACCCAGACATTAGATGGGAATCACAACAACCAAAGCCCCTGGTAAAAAGCCACTTGAAGGTTGAATCCACTGCATACCCAGCAGCCTTGTGACACAGTTATAAACTCTTCCCTACTACAAGCTCATAGGGCATCCCATTACCCTGGGTACCCAACAAAAGAAGATCTGTACCTCCTGAAACCAGTTTATAAAAAATTAAAGAGCTGTTTGCTTCTTCAAATTTATAGACACCGGGGTAAGGCTACATGGTTCCATTGTCAATGTTTCTATTTTAACATAGCAGTGAAAGTACTTTGCAGAAGAATTAGTCAAGAAAATGACCCTAAAAATGACATTCAAATTGAGGAAAAAAATTAAAATGTTGCTGTTTGTAGGTGACATGATCTTATATATAGAAAACCATAAACAATACATCAAAAAATAACAAATGCCCTCAGAAAATTAGCAATATATAACATTAACATATAATTATCAGTTATGATTCCATATGCTAACAACAAACCATCTGATAAAAAAGAAGAAAACAATCTCATTTCCAATAGAATTAAAATAATAAGTTTCTGAAAAATAAATTTAACAAAGAAGGCAAAAGATCTTTTCACTGAAACATATATTGATGAAAGAAATGGAAGAAGTCACAAATAAATGCAAAAAAGATTTCAAGTTTATGAACTGGAAGAATAAATATTATAAAGAGCCATATGATTCAAAGTGATCTAGTTTCAATGAACTCTCTATTAAAAATCCAGTGACATTTTTCACAGTAATGGAAATTACAATTCTAAAATTTACATGAAACTACGATAGGCTTTGAAAAACCAAAGCAATCTAGAGGAAAAGGGACAAAGCAACCAAACTTCATACTTTATGATTTCAAACTATATTTTAAGATTGTAGTAAAAAAACAAGATGATACATGCAAAATATGGACACAATAAACCAATAGAACAGAATAGAGCCCAGAAATAAACCCAGGCATATAAAGTTTACTAATCTTTGACAAGTGCACCAAAAATACACAATGAACAAAGTATAGTCTTTTTAATATTTGGTTCTGAAAAAAACTGGATACCTCCAGGCAAAAGAATAAAATTAGCTTATTTTTCTTACACCATGCTAAAAGTTAAATTACAGACTTAAACATGAATCCTTAAAAAACCTGAAAAAAATACATGGAAAACCCTCATGATATGGTCTTAACAATAATTTGTTAGACATAATACCAAAATTACAGCAACAAAAGCAAATATAAACAAGCTGGACTGCATCAGACTAAAAACCTTCTGCACAGAAAAGAGAACAATAAAATAAAAAAAATTTGTAGAATGGGAAAAAATATTTGCAAACCATACATCTGATAAAAGATTGATATACAAAATATATAAGAAATGCAAGCAGATTGAAAGCAAAAACAACAGTAACGCAGTTCAAAATAGGCAAAACACTAAACTGATATTTGTCCAATGAAGACATACAAATGGCCAACAGATAAGCCATAAAGTACTCAATATCACCAAATATCAGGCAATTGCAAATCAAAACCATGATGAGTATCATTTCAAACATGTTAGAATGGATAATGTAAAAAGAAGAAACATAACAAGTGTTGACAACACTTTGAAGAAAAATAATTCTGTACATTCTTGGAGAGTTATAAATTGATGGAGTCATTACAAAAACCAATAGAGGTTATCTGAAATACAGAACTACTACACAATCTAGCAATAGTAGTATTGTGCATATAATACTGTGTATATAACAAAAGGAAATGAAATAAGTAACTTGAAGACATATCTGTACCACCATATTTGTTGCAGCATTATTCACAATTGCCAAGATATAAAAAACCTAAATGTTTGTGGATGCTGAATAAAGAAAAGCTGGTATAAATAAACAATAGAATATTATTTAGCCTGAAAAATAACAAAATCTTGCCATTTCAACAACATGGGTAAAACTGGAAGACATTATGCCAAGGGAAATAAGCCAGACATAGAAAGAGAAATACTGCACATTCTCACTTATATGGGGAATCTAAGAAAGCTGAACTCACAGAAGCAGAGACTACAATGGAAGTTGTCAGGGACTAGATATGGGAGAAAATGAAAAGATATTGAAAAGACATAAATTTTCTGTTATGAGTAAGTTTTTCAAATGTAATGTATAGCTTCATGATACAGTTAACACTAAATTTTTGTATGCTTAAAATTAGGTGTCAGCAGATCTTAGATGTTTTCATTACAAAAAAGGTACCTATGTGAGGAAAGGTGATAAAAATGCTCAGAAACATAATTGTGCTAATCATTTTACAATATACACATGCAGTAAGTAATTACATTGTACACAATAAATATATATACAATTTTTATTTGTAAAAAAATCCACAATACACACCTACATATATATACACACATATAAATTACAGTTCTGGTAAACTTTATCCTGAACAAGATAAAATTACAAAATAGTAATTTAAAAAACAAGGAAAGAAGTGGGAGCTTAACATATGCTCAATAATGTTCTAAGTTCCCTGACATAGTGAATTGTAGAAATGTAGGAAATATCTACGTTATATTACAGTTGAGAAATTAAGACAGAATTGAAATTACCAACCTCAGTTAGTACTAAAAGAATAAAAATTTCAATTCAAATAACATTAGATATTCTTAAAGAGATACTTAATATTCTGATTAAATTACCAAGTATGAATTTCTGTAGAAACACATTTGAAACCTCCATAAAATAAGAAACTATAAAGCAGAAAACATACAACATATGTGTGTTGTATTTCTGGGATTTCTGAACCAAATCTCAATATCACTACTTTTACATATTTCAGACACAATGCAGAAAGAGAACTTAAAAATGGTTAAACACAGGGTTTCTAAAAAATATGCAGCTATTTGTATAACCCCAAAAGCAATAAAAGTAGTCAGATTGTGCACTGTTTTATAAGCCATAAAGAGAACTTTGGCTCTCACTGCAAATCTGAAGAAAAATTATTGAAGAAAATGTAGAGTCATTAGAGAGCATGGGACAGAGGATGCCCCTATGTGAGAACAAGTGAAAAAACCCAGGCTTCTCAGAAAGGATTTCCACTGGAGCACAGCTTCCCAAATCACATGTAAAAGTCCGGGTTCCTCTCGGCCTTTGGATGCCTCATCTATGTCATCCTCTTCTTCATTCGCTTTCACCTACCTGGGTGCTTCATACTCCATGGCTTTTTTCTTTGCTCCAGACAGGTGACCAGGTCTGGCTTAGAGAAGACAATACCTGTTTTATTTTAAAAAGCATCATGAGCATGACTTTTCCTGGGATTCTCCATTTACCAACCTAATACTGTGCTAAGTAGAGAAAAGAGGACATAATACAAGATTCTAGAAAATTAATTCCAAAATACTTTTTACTGACAGAACCTTTAGCGTATTCAGAAAGTACATTAAATATGAGGGTCCTCTGTTTCACTCCCCAGTATTACTGAATCAAAAATTGGTGGTGGCAATTGAATTTTAAGGTGTGGACAACATTATTTTATGTCACTAAATTTCTGAAATTACCACTTATCTATAGTGAATAATATAGATAAACTCAGGAAGGGGGAAAATTCAGGTCAAAATGAAACAACCTGAAGAATTTATTTTCCACACCAAAAAATCTGCAAGATTGTCTTGAAAACAGGGATCTGAAATTTACTCATGCAAAGCAGAAATTACCAAAACACATCCTACAAAGGAAGAAAATGAAACCTTTAGGGTAAATTAGGAATTCTATATTGAAGTTATTCTCAACCAAGAAGACAGGGTTTCTGTAGTTCTGTAACATCACATCCATATACAAATTCTGCTGAGCAGCATCCAGGTATTGACACTCCTCCAGACAGAATTCTATGGCTACATCCCTGAATGTCAACAGTCCCTGAAAACACACACACACCTACTTCAAGTGGCCATGGGCAGAATTCTTAAATTGACTCAAGATAAAATGAGTGAAGAGAACTGATTCTGACTGATATGACTGAAATTGTCCTATAAAATAATTCCCAACAAAGAAATATTCTCTGTTGTATTCTCTATCTCTAATAAAAGAGAGCATAAGATTCACAATACCAGTGTAGTGTATTGATGATATTTTTTGAATGATAAAGTACAAAATTAACAACAGGAACATAGACATGTACATTTTTTAGTGCTCCATTTAATCATACACAGTATAAGTTCTGCATATTTCTCAGATTAAAAAGTCAGGCTTAGTTATAAAGTACCTCTCAAATTTTAATGTGTACAACAGTAAACTGGAGATCTTTTTATGCAGATTTTGTTTCAAGAAACCTGAGGTAAAACCTGAGTTTCTGAATTTCTAACAAGCTCACAAGTGACACCAATCTTTCTGGCCCAAGATAAATATTTTGTCAAACATTCATTAAGTGACAGAGCCTGGGTTTTTATGACCAGTAAACAAAGATGAGAGACTTCACTTTTTAAAGAAAGACATATGCAAAGACAATCTAAGAAGGAAAGAGAACTTCCAGATTACATGGGATGCTTTATTCACATCAGCTGGTAAATGTCCCCAAGGTACTCAATAATAAAGAGAAAAATAACTCTACAGTGGAAAAAAATTCTCAGAGAACTATTTAACTAAATGAATCAAATTAACACCAATTATAACAGAACAAATTTTCATCATGCGCTGATGCTCACAGAAGGACACAATATCACTGCTGTGATACTGGCCCCCGCCAAAGAAGCAAATTATAATTCAAATCTAACCATAAAGAAACAAGTTTTGTGCAAAATGCAAACTACAGTAATCGCTCATGTTGTGTAATCTCTATTAAAGTATTTACGCAGACTTTCTTCAGCGTTCTAGAAAGCGAGTATCTTCTAATTATTTTTTTCAAAACTTTCTGAATTATTCTGGGTAATAAATACCACCCTGTTCAAATGTGCATATTTTAATCCTGTTCCACATGGAGTTGATGGAGCACACAGACAGAACTTCAACATTACGTATTCCCCTTTTTCATGAATATCTAAGAACCCTACCTCTTCCCCAGTAGGAATCTTGGGTATCCATACATTTCCATGTGCACCAGCACCAGCAACAAAGGGTATTTTTCTTTTTTTTTTTTCTGTGGAGATGGAGTCTCCCTCTGTTGCCCAGGCTGGAGTGCAGTGGCACGATGTAGGCTCACTGCAACCTCCAGAACCTCCACCTCCTGGGTTCAAGTGATTCTCTTGCCTCAGCCTCCCAAGTAGCTGGGATTACAGGCACCCACCACCATGCCCAGCTATTTTTTGTATTTTTAGTAGTGACAGGGTTTCACCATGTTGGCCAGGCTGGTCTCGAACTCCTGACCTCAGGTCATCCACCCACATCGGCCTCTCAAAGTGCTGGGATAATAGGCATGAGCCACCGCGCCCAGCCAAAGGGAATATTTTTAATATTATGAGTCATAATTAATGATGAGAATTCCACATGGCAGAGAAGAAGCCAAGATGAAGAGAATGTTAAGAAGACTCTAGTATATAGAAAATAATATATTTCAGAGTTGCTTGGCTATAATGAGAAGAAAAAATGTCTAAACAAACTTATAGGGAGAAACAGCATAAAGTCAACAAGTACAGGTTTGTAAGTTCTAAACATATGGCATTCCAGGAGGCAGAGTGAACACTGCTCCTAATCTGAGACACAGTCACCTGAGAAAAAGCCATTTTTATCTTCATCATCCTTCTCTAGGATTTCTTCTCAGGTGATATTCTCTGGACAAGTCACACCTGCATCTTGGGAATATGCCTTTAAAGGAATCAGCACAATCTCTTCACCTGCTACCACCACAAACACAGGTAGAAAGATCCAGGCATGCAGAAAATGTCCACCCATTTATGTTCTTTATAACAGGTGAGATTCAAGGACAGTGAGCTCCTCCACAAAATCAAAATTTATCTTTCTCTTTTCCTGCCACAGACGCCACAATTTCTGCTACAGCAATGGGGATATGGGCCACACTAACTTGTACCTACCAAATCCAACCATAGCAGACCCTGTGACCTCCCTTTGGAATAAAGTTTGAACTCAACTCTCATGAATGTATTTTGAATTCCTCGTGTTTGACCCTGGCCTCAACCTGGAGTCACATGAGGCACTTAATTATATCAACAAGGATGCTTCCACCCAGAACAATATACAGAGCCTGCGGGAAGGGCGCAAGTGAAATGATTTCTGCAACCTGGCCATGGAATCTTAATTAGAAGCCTGGGCCAAGAACCACTTAGCTAAGCATTGCCTCTCAAACTTCAATGTGCATATAAATCATTTGGTAACCCTGGCCCCACACTATGTAATGTGATTCTGCAGGTTTTAAAAGCATCCATGAAAGTGCATTTTAAACACATCTCCTGTCAATGCTGATGTAGCTTCCCCAGACCCATCATTAGTAGCATTTAGCTAGAAAAAGCAGGCATGGAACAGACTCTCACAATCATCACTCATCACAACACAAATACTTCTGATCAAATAAACAATCAATCTCTATCCTGAAAAACCACATTCTTTGATAGCTCTTTAAAGTTTACAGAGACAGGAAAAGGCAACAATATCTGAGTAAGTCTGCACTGAAAAACAACATGTACACATATACTTATGCAATGCTTATTAAGCAGGTACTATGTGCTCAGGAGTGTTACAGAGCACTGTGCTGAGAACATCACATTATGTGATTTAATCTTCAAAACAACTTGAGAGTTGGGTACTAAGTGTTCAATAATTCTCAGAATTTAGATGAAGGGGCCAGCATTGTTTTCTTCCCTGTTTATTTCTTATTGATTTTTTTTTGAGGGGGGACAGAGTTTCACTCATGTTGCCCAGGCTGGAAGTGCAATGGCATGATCTCAGCTCACCACAACCTCCGCTTCCTGGGTTCAAACGATTCTCCTGCCTCAGCCTCCCGAGTAGTTGGGATTACAGGCATGCACCACGACACTGAGCTAAGTTTGCATTTTTAGTAGAGATGGGGTTTCTCCATATTGGTCAGGCTGGTCTCGAACCCCCAACCTCAAGTGATCCATGCACCTCGACCTCCCAAATTGCTAGTATTACAGGCATGAGCCACAGAACCTGGCCTCTCATTGATTTTTTAAAAAATGTATAGCATAAGAGATAAATATAGACAGATGGGAGGGATACAGAAAGGATTTTTTAGTGTGTTTCTATTTACTTTCTTGTGACTTGTGGAGTAACTACTGGGATGGAATGTCTCTACAAGCACTGGTTTTAATTAGAAAGAAAGAAGTTAAGACCTCAAAATATATAGTTCATTGCTCTAATTTATCTGCTTTTGGGTTTCAGAATATTGTGAGCATAAGCTCTGGAGAGGCAGCAGGAGCCACCTCCCAAATCTCTGGTCTCCACTAATGAGTTCTGTGAGGAGAGACTCCAGGGTGGGACCAGAACTGAATGAGTCTCAGAAAAGGGTGAATCTGGACAGAGCTGGGGTGGAGAAACTGTCCTATGTTGAATTATGATCTCTATACTGCTGGAGTACTTCTTGTTCTGTCTTTCCTAAGCCTGTCCAAGAGAAACTTAAGAGTTAGTATAATTTTAATCCATTTAGCCACTACTCTATTTTATAACGTATAATAACAAGCAATTTAACTGAAATTTTTAGGGCTTTCTAGGATAATTTTATTAGAAAATATGTATTCTTAGCAAGGCAAAAGCAATAGAAATACAAATAACTCTCCTGTTTGAGAATAGCTCTTCAGGTGGTGACATCAGAAGTCACAACAACATCAGAGCCATTGCCCAAGTCCCCTTAACACTCCCACTTTATTGTATTGACTATATGATGCTTAATTAAACTATTTATCCAGTTGCTCTAGACTGAGAGTTTTTGAATGACAGAGACCATGACTGCTTCATCTATTTTTCTAAAGGCCATATGAAATGGAGGCAATTTGTTTATCAGTCTGAGTCTCCAGAACTCCTGAATTTTTTGCCAAGGAAACTGGAGAAACTCTTGTCCAGGTACCAACCAAGGAGATTATTTCTACAAAAGAAGGAACAGACACTGAATGACTCATTTCCCTTCCTCTAACATGGAAGCAGAATTAGACACTCCTGCCAGCCTGACCCAAGTCTGTACAGGACATCCTGAAATGTCTTAAAGATTCCCGGGTGATTGTGAGAGGATTCCTAGTGACCATGGACTGATGACCATATGTTGATCCATGTAGGAAAGACTCAAGCTGATTCTAAATAGAAAATGGAACTGCCCTGGTACAGCTCCAGAACCTGGATCTATGAGTGATATCACCTGTTCTGATTAGCTAGGTCTTAGGTAAGAGAAAGGACAAGAATACTCTACTCCAGTATCACATTTTACAAATAGGTAAACTTATGTCATTGCACTGGGTATTTTGTGGCTTTGATCTCTCCCTACTGACATGCATGTTTACACTTACAGGTTGTGCAACCAGATTCTATTTACACCAGCAACCTCTCACATAAACATAGCAGGTCACTGGAAAAGATCTGGAAAGCTCAAAGGGATACACTCTGAAAGGAGGGCTTTAAGATTTCTATGCTGACATCTCACAGATCAGAAAATGTCTCCTATGGGTTTTCTGTACATTCTCAATCCAAAATCTGGCTCTCTCCTGTGAATCCCAGGGAGAGCTCAGCTCTTATGTACAGATTACAGGTAAGATAAACCTGACTCTTCATTCTTTGGTGTTACAGCAAGGAGAGTAAAAAAAAAAAAAGTTTCCATCATAAAGTCTGCTCTAGGACATGATATGTCAGCCTAAAAAGAAAAGGTTAAAGCAACACTCATTTAAGTAGAGAGTTTATTTGGGCCAAGCCTGAGGATTGAAATCAGGGAGCATAGATTCAAGTTGCCTTGAATGTACACTTTAATTAGCAGCAGTTACAAGTGGATTTACAAAGGCAAAAGAAAGGGACAGGGAGTGGACTGAAACAAAGTTGTTTTTCAGAAATTCTTCTTGATCTACAAAAATAACATTGATGACTAATTGGCTATATATTTTTAAGCTGTGAGGTATTGCTTATAACATCTAGTGTGGCATTATTAGGTTAATTTATATCTACTTGTAGGAATAGCAAACAGTTTCAAGTGGTAAACATGTATCTCAAAGGAGGCAGTAGAACATAATTATGTTCTCATTTTTATGTCTCTCCGAGCCTGATAAAACTAAAAGGACTTGCAATCCTCATATCAAAGTTATTCTTTTTCCTCTAATCTCAAGACCGAGATTCAGAATTTGGTATTGTAGATTTAGGTCCTGGATGGATGGAGAAATGGCAGGTGTTAACTGCACATTTATGGGAATTTGGGGAGGAGGAGAAAGAGGAACTTTGAGATACTCACGTTTACTCAATGCACACATGTCACCCTAATTGTTCTTCTGGGCCTAATAGTCTCCAACTCAGTTTCAGGTCTGAAGACACTATGGTCACTGAAAGAGGTGAAATGGCTGATTACTGTCCTGTGAATTTTGTCAACCACTTGTAGAAAGGCTTAACCTCTCTACGAGTGGTTGTAGAGGACTATAGATGTGAAACAGGCAGAGACACAAGTCTGCCTGCATACTCTGGGGCCAGTGTGCACTTTGAAGCACAACTGACTGAGTTGACTGGAAGCCTGAGGGGGAAAGCCTTCTCTAAAATGAAGCTTGGTGGGCAATTTATACATATATACAATGTCTGGTAATTGTGAACAGGGTTTGAGAAATATAATTAAAAGGAAAATTATCTCCAATCCTAGAAAAACCCCACAATAACAGAACAGAAAGAAAAGTGTTGTATTGCACAATAAAACCAGAATGTGATGTGACAAGAATCACAGACAATCTGCTCAAGAGATTGCAAAGACAGAAAGGTCTCTATAATTAGTCCTCAAGTAGAAGACTTGACAGCACCATTTGTCATACACAGTTTATCCTAAATTCACCTGGTAATTGGGGAGGCCATCTGTGTATGTTAATTGGTTATATTGAAAGGAAAAATAAACTTCTGACATCTTCATGATAGTAGGTAGTTTTGCAACTTACAGCCAGGTGCCTGCTGAAAGTAGGCTCTGGTTCTCTTACAGACACTGTGAAATAGGATACTATTCTTTTGGCTATTTACATTTCAAAGCAAAGGGTCCCTACTCCCTAGGCCAGGGGCTGCAGTAATCCTTCTTGCCCTGTCCTGGTGGCCTGTGTCCCATCTCTTCCCCTACCATCTACCACTGAGGCACAGCTCACAGCACACAGCTGGCAGCCCACATTCCACATGGACTCCAACCACCACAGCTGCACTCCAGTGTCACATTATGGAGCAGGGTCCCTGAACTGCAGGAGGAGAACCTGCAGGACTCCTGGGTAGGATTGCACTTTTGCAATAATGGAAATGGGAGCAATGTTTCAGCTATGTTTCTATTTATAATGGTGACAAAAAAAATACTGCTGGATTCCCAGCATGGGTCTGGTTAGAGTGCCAAAGAGTTCTCATTGTGACAGCCCAACTCACTCAGAAACACCATGAGACACTTTTGGGTGTCCCTTCTGAAGACAGACACCGAAAGCATTGAAGAGAAAAACAGCTCTCAGTCTGAATAAAATTGTATTAAGAGGTTAAAAGTATCTGAAAGAAAAATTCAGATTACATATAATATTAGCCAAGTCTACCAGAAAATACTCCCCTGAGACAGTTTCTCTCTAAACACCCAAAATGCACAGCCGCTCTCAACACACGAAACACAGTGTTATGAAGAAAGGGGGCATATTCTCAGCAGAATTTCTTAAGATTTTTCTTCCATCTCTGCTGCTCTCTCATCTGCTGGCCATTGGATTGAGGATCTACACTGGAACACATCAGGCAACCTTCGCCAGCACTTTTTGATAAAGAATTGGAATTTGGCTCTGTTTACATAGTAGAACTATATCTGAGATTGCAACATATCTAACTGAAGACTATTATGATTCATGATTTTTGGGTAGTCACATCACTTGCATTGATTTGTTCTGTAAGAGTGGCATTCCAAATATAGTAAAACATAAGAATAGACTGTGAGGCAGGATACGGTGGCTCACGCCTGTAATCCCAGCACTTTGGGAGGCTGAGGCAGGCGGATCACCTGGGTCGGGAGTTGAAGACCAGCCTGGCCAACACGGTGAAACACCATCTCTACTAAAATACAAAAACTATCCAGGCGTGGTGGCAGACACCTGTAATCCCAGCTACTTAGGGGTTGAGGCAAGAGAATCACTTGAACTCAGGAGGCAGAGGTTGCAGTGAGCTGAGATCATGCCACTGCACTCCAGCCTGGGTGACAGAGCCAGACTCCATCTCAAAAACAACAAAAAAAGATAGAATGTAAAATTTTGCTAACCTACTACTCTATCTTTTTGTTTTGTTTTGGTTTTTGAGACAGAGTTTTGCTCTTGTTGCCCAGACTGGAGTGCAATGGTGCAATCTCAGCTCACTGCAGCCTCCACCTCCCAGGTTCAAGTGATTCTCCTGCTTCAGTCTCCCGAGCAGCTAGGATTACAGGCATGCACCACCATCCCCGGCTAATTGTGTATTTTTTTTAGTAGAGACGGGGTTTCTCCATGTTGGTCAGGGTGGTCTCAAACTTCTGACCTCAGGTGATCCGCCTGCCTCGGCCTCCCAAAGTGCTGTGATTATAGGCATGAGCCACCACGCCCAGCTGACCTATTATTATATCTATGGGATGAATTAATAAGCATGTCAGATTAATATCTACTGTAACAATTAGATAGTAAATTTTCTTTGGATATTACATATAAATATCTAAGTATAAATAATCTTAATATACTAGTAATGGCATACATTTTTTAAATTATCTGTAACCTTAACTCAGTTATAATACTTTATATTTCAAAAGAATAAATAACGATATTAAAATTACTATTTAAGGGATTTATTCATAGTAAATAGTGTGGCCTTATATTCACATGATTGTAGAAAATACTGTTTAATTTACATGGATGAATGTTGTCTACTGAAGACTACATAAAACTATGTTAATTCTTTTTTTAATTTTTTTATTTAATTTTTAAAATTTATTATTATACTTTAAGTTTTAGGGTACATGTGCAAAATGTGCAGGTTTGTTACATATGTATACATGTGCCATGTTGGTGTGCTGCACCCATTAACTCGTCATTTAGCATTTGGTATATCTCCTAATGCTATCCCTCACCCATCCCCCCACACTGACCTCACATAGGATTCCAGAACACTGCTGGGTTCTGAGTGTTTGTCCCTCACATAGGATTCCAGAACTGTTCTGTAATCCTTTGTAAGGGATAAACATTCAGACCCTCATAGCATTGTTCCGGAATCCTATGTGAGGGACAAAAACTCAGAACCCAGCAGCAGTGTTCTGGAATCCTGTGTGAGCGACAAACATTCAGAACTTCGTAGCAGTGTTCTGGAATTCTATGTGAGGGACAAACACTCAAAACCCAGCAGCAGTGTTCTGGAATCCAATGTGAGGGACAAACACTCTGAACTCAACAGCAGGTTTCTGGAATCCCATGAGAGGGACAAATACTCAGAACCCAGCAGCAGTGTTCTGGGATCCTAAGTGAGGGACAAACACTCAGCAACCAGGAGCAGTGCTCTGAAATCCTTTGTAAGGGACAAACAAACAGAATCCAGTAGCAGGGTTCCAGAATCCTTTCTGAGGGAAAAACATTCAGACCCTCGTAGCAGTGTTCTGGAAACCAATGTGAGTGCCAAACACTCAGAACCCAGCAGCAGCGTTCTGGAATACTTGGTAAGGAACAAACATTCAGACAATCGTAGCATTGTTCTAGAATCCTAAGTGAGGGACACTCAGAAATGAGCTGCAGTGTTCTAGAATTCTATGTGAGGGACAAACCCTCAGTACCGAGCGGCAGTGTTCTGGAATCCTATGTGAGGGACAAACACTCAGAACAAAGCAGCAGTGTTCTGGAATCCTCTGTGAAAGACAAACACTCAGATCCCAGCAGCAGAGTTCTGATACCCTATGTGAGGGACAAACACTCAGAACCCAGCCACTGTGTTCTGAAATCCTATCTGAAGGACAAACATTCGGAGCCTCGTAGAATTGTTCTGGAATCCTATGTGAGGGACAAACACTCAGAAACCTATAGCAGTGTTCTGGAATCCTTTGTGATGGACAAACAAACAGAGCCCAGCAGCAGTGTTCTGGAATCCTATTTGACAGACAAACACTCAGAACTCAGAAGCAGTGTTCTGGAATCCTTTGTGAGGGAGAAACATTCAGAACCTCGTAGCAGTGTTCTGGAATCGTATGTGAGGGACAAACACTCAGAACCCAGCAGCAGTGTTCTGGAATCCTATGTGAGTGACAAACACTAAGAAACCAGCAGCAGTGTTCTAGAATCCTTTGTGAGGGACAAACATTCAGACCATCGAAGCAGTGTTCTGGAATCCTGTGTGAGGGACAAACACTCAGATCCAGCAGCAGTGTTCTAAAATCCTTTGTGATGGACAAAAATTCAGACTGTCATAGCCGTTTTCTGGAATCCAAAGTGAGGGACAAACACTCAGAACCCAGCAGCAGTGTTCTGGAATCCTATGTGAGGAACAAACATTCAGAACCCAGCAGCAGTGTTCTGGAATACTCTGTGAGTATTCATTCAGACCCTCGTAGCAACGTTCTGGAATCCTATGTGAGGGAAAAACATTCAGATACTCGTAGCATTGTTCTGGAATCCTATATGAGGGGCAAACACTCAGAACCCAGCAACAGTGTTCTGGAGTCCTTTGTGAGGGAAAAACATTTAGATCCTCGAAGCAGTGTTCTGGAATCCTATGTGAGGGACAAACACTCAGAACCCAGCAGCAGTGTTCTGGAATCCTGTGTGAGTGTCAAACATTCAGAACCCAGCAGCATTGTTCTGGAATCCTATTTGAGTGACGAACATTCAGAACTTCGTACCTGTGTTCTGGAATGCTATGTGAGGGACAAACACTCAGAACCGAGCAGCAGTGTTCTGGAATCCTATGTGAGGGAGAAACACTCGGAACCCAGCAGCAGTGTTCTGGAATCCTATGTGAGGGTCAAACACTAAGAACCCAGCAGCAGTGTTCTGGAATCCTTTGTGAGGGACAAACATTCAGAACCTTGTAGCAGTGTTCTGGAATTTTATGTGAGGGAAAACACTCTGAACCCAGCAGGAGTGTTTTCGAATCCCATGTGAGGGACAAACACACAGAACCCCGCAGCAGTGCTCTGGAATACTTTGTGAGGGACAAACATTGAGACTCTCAAAGCAGTTTTCTGAAATCCATTGTGAGGGACAAACAGTCAGAACCCATAGCAATGTTATGAATCCTTTGTGACGGACAAACATTCAGACCATCGTAGCAGTGTTCTGGTATCCTGAGTGAGGGACAAACACTCAGAAACCAGCAGCAGTGCTCTGGATTCCTTTGTGAGGGGTAAACAAACAGAACCCAGCAGGAGAGTTCTGGAATCCTATGTGAGGGACAAACACTCAGAACCCAGCAGCAGTTTTCTGGAATCCTTTGTGAGGGACAAGCGTTCAGAAACTCGTAGAAGTGTTCTGGAAACGTATGTGCGTGACAAACACTAAGAAACCAGCAGAAGTGCTCCCAAATCCTTTGACAGGGACAAACAAATAGAAACCAGCGCAGTGTTCTGGAAGCCTTTGTGGGGGAAAAACATGGAGACCCCCGTAGCAGTGTTCTGGAATCCTATATGAGGGACAAACACTCAGAACCCAGCAGCAGTGCTCTGGAATCCTTTGTGAAGGACAAACATTCAGACACTCAGCAGTGTTCTGGAATCCTATGTGAGGGAAAAACATTCAGACCATCGTAGCATTGTTCTGGAATTCTATATATGGGACAAACACTCAGAACCCAGCAGCAGTGCTCTGGAATCCTATGTGAGGGAAAAACACTCAGAACCCAGCAGGATTGTTCTGGAATGCTATGTGTGGGACAAACACTCAGAACCTAGCAGCAGAGGTCTGGAATCCTATGTGAGCGACAAACACTCAGAACACAGCAGCTGTGTTCTGGAATCCTTTGTGATGGACGAAGTTTCAGAACCTCACAGCAGTGTTCTGGAATCGTATGTGAGGGACACTCAGAACCCAGCAGCAGTGTTCTAGAATCCTTTGAGCGGGAAAAACATTCAGACCCTTGGAACAGTGTTCTGGAATCCTATGTGATGGACAAACACTCAGAACCCAGCAGCAATATTCTGGAGTCCTTTGTGATGGACAAACATTCTGACCCTCGTAGCAGTGTTCTGCAATCCTATGTGAGGGACAAACACTCAGAACCCAGCAGCTGTGTTCTGGAATCCCATGTGAGGAATAAACTCTCAGAACCCAGCAGCAGTGTTCCGTAATCCTATATGAGTGAGAAACACTCAGAACCCTGCAGCAGTTTTGTAGATTCCACTGTGAGATACAAACATTCAGACCCTCGTAGAAGTGTTCTCGAATCCTATGTGAGGGAAAAACTCTCAGAAACCTGCAGCAGTGCACTGGAGTCCCTTGTGAGGGACAAACAAACACAACCAAGCAGCAGTGTTCTGGAATCCTTTGAGAGGCAAAAATATTCAGACTCTCGTAGCAGTGTTCTGGAATCCTACGTGAGGGACAAACACTCAGAACCCAGCAGCAGTATTCTGGAATCCTATGTGGGGGACAAACACAACCCAGCCGCAGAGTTCTAGAATCCTCTGTGAGCGACAAACATTCAGAAATTCATAGCAGTGTTCTGAAATCCTATATAAGGGACAAACACTCAGAACCCAGCCACTGTGTTCTGGAATCCTATGTGAGGGACAATCATTCAGACCCTCGTAGCTGTGTTCTGTAATCCTATCTGAGGGACAAACATTCAGACGTTCATATCAGTGTTCTGGAATCTTATGTGAGGGACAAACTCTCAGAATCCAGCAGCACTGTTCTGGAATCCTATGTGAGGGACAAACACTCAGAACCCAGCAGCAGTACTCTGGAATAATTTGTGAGGGACAAACATTCAGATCCTCGTAGCAGTGTTCTGGAATCTTATGTGAGGGACAAACACTTAGAACCCAGCAGCACTGTTCTGGAATCCTATGTGAAGGACAAACACTCTTTACACAGCAGGAGTGCTCTGGAATACTTTGTGAGGGACAAACATTCAGACAATCGTAGCAGTGTTCTGGAATCGTATGTGAGGGACAAACACTCAGAACCCAGCAACAGTGTTTTGGAATCCTATGTGAGGGACAAACCCTCAAACCTAGCAGCAGTGTTCTGTAATCCAATGTGAGGGGCAAACAGAGAGAACCCAGCAGCAGTGCTCTGTAATACTTTGTGAGGGACAACATTCAGATAATCGTAGCAGTGTTCTGCAATCCTATGTGAGAGACAAACCCAAAGAAACCAGCAGCAGGGTTCTGGAATCCTATGTGAGGGACAAACACTCAGAACTCAGCAGCAGTGTTCTCTAATCCTTTGTGAGGGACAACATTCAGATCCTCGTAGCAGTGTTCTGGAATCCTATGTGAGAGACAAACACTAAGAAACCAGCAGCAGTGTTCTGGAATCCTATGTGTGGGACAAACACTCAGAACCCAGCAGCAGTGTTCTGGAATCCTTTGTGAGGGTTAAACACTCAGACTCTCAGAGCAGTGTTCTGGAATCCTATGTAAGGGACAAGCATTCAGACCCTCATAGCACCCTTCTGGAATGCTCTGTGAGGAACAAATATTCAGACCCTCATAGCAGTGTTCTGGAATCATATGTGAGGTACAAAATCTCAGAACTCAGCAGCAGTATTCTTTAATTCTATGTGAGAGACAAACCCTCAGAACCCAGCAGCAGTACTCTGGAATAATTTTTGAGGGACAAACATTCAGACAATCACAGCAGTGTTCTGGAAACCAATGTGAGGGCCAAACACTCAGAACCCAGCAGCAGTGTTCTGGAATATTTGGTAAGGGATGAACATTCAGACAATATTAGCAGTGTTCTGGAATCCAAAGTGATGGAGAAACACTCAGAAACGAGCTGCAGTGTTCTAGAATTCTATGTGAGGGACAAGCACTCAGAACCCAGCAGCAGTGTTCTGGAATCCTTAGTGAGTGACAAACGCTCAGAACCCAGAAGTAGTGTTTTAGACTGGTTTGTGAGATACAAACATTCAGACCCTCAAAGCAGTGTTGTGGAATCCTATTTGAGGGAAAAACACTCATCACACAGCCACTGTGTTCTGGAATCCTATCTGAAGGACAAACATTCGGAGCCTCGTAGAAGTGTTCTGGAATCCTATGTGAGAGACAAACATTCAGAAACCAGCAGCAGTGCTCTGGAATCCTTTGTGAGGGACAAACAAACAGAGCCCAGCAGCCGTGTTCTGGAATCCTATTTGATGGACAAACACTCAGAACCCAGCAGCAGTGTTCTGGAATCCTTTGTGGGGGACAAACATTCAGATCCTCAGAGAAGTGTTCTGGAATCCTATGTGAGAGACAAACACTCAGAACCCAGCAGCAATGTTCTAGAATCCTATGTGAGGGACAAACACTCAGAGCCCAGCAGCAGTGTTCTGCAATCCTTTGTGGGGGTCAAACACTCAGACGCTCAGAACAGTGCTCTGTAATCCTATGTGAGGGATAAACACTCTGAACCCTGCAGCAGTGTTCTGGATTCATATGTGAGGGACAAGCATTCAGATCCCCATAGCCCTGTTCTGCAATGCTCTGTGAGGGTCAAACATTCAGAACCTCGTAGCAGTGTTCTGAAATACTATGTGAGGTACAAAGCCTCAGAACTCAGCAGTAGTGTTCTGGAATCCTATGTGAGTGACAAACACTCAGAAACCAGCAGCAACGTTCTAGAATCCTTTGCGAGGGACAAACATTTAGACTCTCGAAGCAGTGTTCTGTTATCCTATGTGAGGGACACTCAGATCCAGCAGCATTGTTCTAGAATCTTTAGTGATGGACAAACATTAAGGTCCTCGTAGCAGTTTTCTGGAATCCTATGTGAGGGGCAAACACTCAGAACCCAGCAGCAGTGTTCTGGAATCCAGTGTGTGGTACAAACACTCAGAACTGAGCCAGTGTGTACTGGAATCCTATCTCAGGGCTAAACATTCAGACCTTCGCAGAAGTGATCTGGAATCCTATGTGCGCAACAAACACTAAATAACCAGCAGCAGTGCTCTGGAATCCTTTGTGAGGGACAAACAAACAGAAACCAGCAGCAGTGTTCTGGAAGCCTTTGTGAGGGAAGAACATTCAGACCCTCGTAGCAGTGTTCTGGAATCCTACGTGCGGGACAATCACTCAGAAGCCAGCAGCACTGTTCTGGAATCCTATGTGAAGGACAAATATTCAGAACCCAGAATCAGTGGATTCCTAAGTGAAGGACAAACTCTCAGAACTCAGCAGCAGTTGTCTGCAATCTTTTGTGAGGGACAAATATTGAGACTCTCAAACCAGTGTTCTGGAATCCTATGTAAGGGACAAGCATTCAGTCTTGTAGCAGTGCTCTGGAATCCTATATGAGGTACAAACACGAAGAACCGAGCAGCAGTGTTCTGGAATCCTATGTGAGGGACAAACACTCAGAACACAGCAACAGTGATCTGGAATCCTATATGAGGGACAAACATTCAGACCCTCGTAGCAGTGTTTTGGAATCCTTTGTGAGGGACAAACAATCAGGACCCAGCAGCTTTGTTCTGGAATCCTATGTGATAGACGAACACTCAGAACCCAGCATCAGTGTTCTGGAATCCTTTGTGAGGGACAAGCAATCAGGACACAGCAGCTCTGTTCTGGAATCCTATGTGAGGGACAAACATTCAGACCCTCGTATTAGTGTTCTGGAATCCTCTGGGAGGGACCTACAAACAGAACCCAGTGACAGTGTTCTACAATCCTTTGTTAGGGAAAAATATTCAGACCCTCGTAACAGTCTTTTGAATCCTATGTGAGGGAAAAACATTCAGACCGTCACAGTAGTGTTCTGGAATCTTATTTGAGGGGCAAACACTCAGAACCCAGCAGCAGTGTTCTGGAATCCTTTGGGAGGGATAAACATTCAGACCCTCGTAGCAGTGTTCTGGAATCCTATGTGAGGGACAAACACTCAGAACCCAGCAGCAGTGTTCTGGAGTCCTATGTGAGCAACAAACCTTCAGAAGTTCGTAGCAGTGTTCTGGAATTGTATGTGAGGGACAAACACTCAGAACCGAGCAGCAGTGTTCTGGAATGCTAAGTGAGGGACAAACACTCAGAACCCAGCATCAGTGTTTTGGCATCCTATGTGAGGGACAAACACACAGAACCCAGAAGCCGTGTTCTAGAATCCTTTGTGAGGGACAAACACTCAGAAACCAGTAGCAGTGTTCTAGAATCCTTTGTGAGGGACAAACATTCAGAACCTGTAGCAGTGATCTGGAATCCTATGTGAGGGACAAACACTCAGAATCCAGCCAGTGTACTGGAATCCTATCTGAGGGCAAACATTCAGAACCTCGGAGAAGTGTTCTGGAATCCTATGTGAGGGGCCAACACTAAGAAATATGCAGCAGTGCTCTGGAATCCTTTGTGAGGGGCAAATAAACAGAACCCAGTAGCAGAGTTCTACAATCCTTTGTAAGGGAAAACATTCAGATCCTCGTAGCAGTGTTCTGGAATCCTATATGAGGGACAAACATTCAGAGCCCAGCTGCAGTGTTCTGGATTCCTTTGGGAGGGAAAAACATTCACACCCTCGTAACAGTGTTTTAGAATCCTATGTGAGGGAAAAATATTCAGACCCTCGTAGCATTGTTCTGGAATCCAATATGAGGGACAAACACTCAGAATCCAGTAACAGTGTTCTGGAACCCTTTGTGAGGGATAAACATTCAGACCCTCGTAGCAGTGTTCTGGAATCCTATGTGAGAGACAAACACTCAGAACCCAGCAGCAGTGTTCTGGAATCCTATGTGAGGGACAATCACTCAGAACCCAGCAGCAGTGTTCTAGAATCCTTTGTGAGGGACAAACATTCAGACCCTCGTAGCAGTATTCTGGAATCCTATGTGAGAGATAAACATACAGACCACAGCAGGAGAGTTCTGGAATCCTATGTGATCATCAAAATTTCAGACGCTAGCAGCAGTGTTCTTTGATTCTCTCTGAGGGAAAAACATTCAGAACTTCGTAGCAGTGTTCTATAATGCTATGTGATGGACAAAGATTCAGAACCTCGTAGCAGTGTTCTACAATCCTAGGTGAGGGACAAACATTCAGACCCTAGCATTAGTGTTCTGGAATCCTATGTGAGAGACTCACATTCAGACCCTAGTACCAGTGTTCTGGAATCCTCTGTGGGGGACAACAATTCAGAGGCTAGTAGCAGTGTTCTGGAATCCTCTGTGAAGGACACACGTTCAGAAGACAGCAGGAGTGTTCTTGAATCCTATGTGGGGGACAAACACGCAGAACACAGCAGCAGCGTCCTGGAATCATATGTGAGGGACAAACATTCAGACCACAGCAGGGGTATTCTGGAATTCTATGTGAGGGACAGACATTGAGACACTCGTAGCAGTGTTCTGGAATTCTATGTGAGTGACAAACACACACAACCCAGCAGCAGTGTCCTGGAATCCTATCTGAGGAACAAACATTCAGACCCTCTTAGCAGTGTTCTGGAATCCTATGTGAGGGACAAACACTCAGAACCCAGCAGCAGTGTTCTGGAATCCTATCTGAAGGAAAACATTCGGAACCTCTTAGAAGTTTTCTGGAATCCTATGTGAGGGACAAACACTCTGAAGCCAATAGCAGTGTTCTGGTATCCTATATGAGGGACAAACACTCAGAACCCAGCAGAAGTGTTCTGGAATCCCATATGAGGGACAAACACTCACAAACCAGCAGCAAATGTTCTGGAATCCTATGTGAGGGACAAACATTCAGACCCTCGGAGCAGTGTTCTGGAATCCTATGTGAAGGACCAACAGTCAGAACCCAGTAGCAGTGTTCTGGAATCCTATGTGAGGGACAAGCATCCAGACACTCGTAGCAGTGATACAGAATGCTTTCTGAGGGAAAAACATGCAGACCCTCATAGCAGTGTTCTGAAATCCTATGTGAGGGACAAACACTCAGAAGCCAGCAGCAGTGTTCTGGAATCCTTTGTGTCGGACAAACACTCAGAACTCAAAAGCAGTGTTCTGGAATCCCTTTGAGGGACAAATATTCAGACCCTCATAGCAGTGTTCCGGAATCATATGTGAGGGACAAACTTTCAGAACCCAGCAGCAGTGTTCTGGAATCCTTGGTGAGGAAGAAACTTTCAGACCCTCTGAGCAGTGTTTTGGAATCCTATGTTTGGGACAAACACTCAGAACCTAGCAGCTGTGTTCTGCAATCCTATGTGAGGGACAAACACTCAGAACCCACAAGCGGTGCTCTGGACTCTTTGTGAGGGACAAACATTCCTACATTTTAGCAGTGTTCCAGAATCTCATGTGATAGAGAAACGCTCAGAACCCAGCAGCAGAGTTCTAGAATTCTATGTGAGGGACAAACCCTCATAACCTAGCAGCAGTATTCTGCAATTCTAAGTGAAGGACAAACCTTCAGAACCCAGCAGCAGTGTTCTCGTACTCAATGACAGGGACAATCCCTCAGATCCCAGCAGCAGTTTTCTGGAAACCTATGTGAGGAACAAACACTCAGAACCCAGAAGCAGTGGTCTGGAATCCAATGTGAGGGACAAACACTCAGAACCCAGCAGCATTTTTCTGAAATCCTTTGTGAGAGACAAACTTTCATAGCCTTGTAGCTGTGTTCTGGAATCCTATATGTGGAACAAACACTCAGAACCCAGAAGCAGTGGTCTGGAATCCTGTGTGAGGGACAAACACTCAGACCCTCGAAGCAGTGTTCTGGAATCCTGTGTGAGGGACAAACATTCAGATCCAGCAGCATTGTTCTGGAATCCTTTGTTATGGACAAACCTTCAGACGCTCATAGCAGTTTTCTGGAATCTCGTGTGAGGGACAAACACTCAGAACCCAGAAGCAGTGTTCTGGAATCCTCTGTGAGTGACAAACACTCAGAAACCAGCAGCAGTGTTCCAGCATCCTTTGTGAGGGACAAACACTCAGACACTCGAAGCAGTGTTCTGGAATCCTATGTGAGTGACAAACACTCAGAACCCAGAAGCAGTGTTCTGGAATCCTATGTGAGGGACCAACACTCAGAACCCAGACACTGTGTACTGGAATCCTATCTGAGGGACAAATATTCAAACCACCGCAGAAGTGTTCTGGAATCCTATGTGCGGAACAAACACTAAGAAACCAGCAGCAGTGCTCTGGAATCCTTTGTGGGGGACAAACAAACAGAACCCAGCAGCGTTCTGGAATCCTTTGTGAGGGAAAAACATTCAGACCCTCATAGCAGTGTTCTGGAATCCTATATCAGGGACAAACACTCAGAACCCAGCAACAGAGTTCTGCAATCCTTTGTGAGGGAAAAACATTGAGACCCTCTTAGCAGTGTTCTTGAATCCTACATGAGGGAAAAACATTCAGACCCTCATAACATTGTTCTGGAATCCAATATAAGGGACAAGCACTCAGAAACCAGCAGCATCGTTCCAGAATCCTATGTGAGGGACAAACACTCAGAACCCAGCAGCAGTGTTCTGGAATCCTATGTGAGCCACAAACATTCAGAACTGCATAGCAGAGTTCTGGAATCTTATGTGAGGGACAAACATTCAGAACCCAGCAGCAGTGTTCTGGAATCCTATGTGAGGGACAAACACTCAGAACCCAGCAGCAGTGTTCTGGAATCCTTTGTGAGGGACAAACATTCAGAACCTCGTAGTAGTGTTCTGGAATCGTATGTGAGGGATAACACTCTGAACCCAGCAGGAGTGTTTTTGAATCCCATGTGAGCAACAATCACTCAGAACCCTGCAGCAGTGTTCTGGAATCCTATGTTAGTGACAAATTCTCAGAACCCAGAAGCAGAGGGAAAAGAAACTACCAAGTGTAGCCAAGATGGCCGAATAGGAACAGCTCCAGTCTACAGCTCCCAGGGTCAACAATGCAGAAGACGGGTGATTTCTGCATTTCTATCTCAGGTACTGGGTTCATCTCACTAGGGAGTGCCAGACAGCAGATGCAGGACAGTGGGTGCAGTGCACAGTTCATGAGCCGAAGCAGGGTGAGGCACTGCCTCACTCGGCAAGTGCAAGGGGTCAGGGAGTTCCCTTTCCTAGTCAAAGAAAGGGGTGACAGACGGCACCTGGAAAATCGGGTAACTCCCACTGTAATACTGTGCTTTTCCGATGGTCTTAACAAACAGCGCATCAGGAGATTATATCCTGCACCTGGCTCAGAGGGTGATACGCCCATGGAGTCTCGCTGATTGCTAGCACAGCAGTCTGAGATCAAACTGCAAGGCAGCAGCAAGGCTTGAGGAGGGTCGCTCGCAACTGCCCAGGCTTGCGTAGGTAAACAAAGCGGCCAGGAACTCGAACTGGGTGGAGACCACCACAGCTCAAGGAGGCCTGCCTGCCTCTTAAGGCTCCACCTCTGGGGGCAGGGCACAGACAAACAAAAAGACAGCAGTAACCTCTGCAGACTTAAATGTCCCTGTCTGACAGCTTTGAAGAGAGCAGTGGTTCTCCCAGCACACAGCTGGAGATCTGAGAACAGGCAGACTGCCTCCTCAAGTGGGTCCCTGACCCCTGACCCCTAAGCAGCCTAACTGGGAGGCACCCCCCAGTACGGGCAGACTGACACCTCACACGGCCAGGTACTCCTCTGAGACAAAACTTCCAGAGGAACAATCAGACAGCAGCATTTTTGGTTCACGAAAATCTGCTGTTCTGCAGCCACCGCTGCTAATACCCAGGCAAACAGGGTCTGGAGTGGACCTCTAGAAAACTCCAACAGACCTGCAGCTGAGGGTCCTGTCTGTTAGAAGGAAAACTTACAAACAGAAAGGACATAAACACCAAAAACCCATCTCTACATCACCATCATCAAAGACCAAAAGTAGATACAACCACAAAGATGGGGAAAAAACAGAGCAGAAAAATTGGAAATTCTAAAAAGCAGAGCACCTCTCCTCCTCCAAAGGAACGCAGTTCCTCACCAGCAATGGAAAAAAGCTGGGTGGAGAATGACTTTGACAAGTTGAGAAAAGAAGGCTTCAGACGATCAAACTACTCTGAGCTACAGGAGGAAATTCAAACCAAAGGCAAAGAAGTTAAAAACTTTGAAAAAATTTAGACGAATGTATATCTAGAATAACCAATACAGATAAGTGCTTAAAGGAGCTGATGGAGCTGAAAGCCAAGGCTCGAGAACTACGTGAAGAATGCAGAAGCTTCAGGAGCCGATGTGATCAACTGGAAGAAAGGGTATAAGTGATGGAAGAAGAAATGAATGAAATGAAGCGAGAAGGGAAGTTTAGAGAAAAAAGAATAAAAAGAAATGAACAAACCTCCAAGAAATATGGGACTATGTGAAAAGACCAAATCTATGTCTGATTGGTGTACCTGAAACTGATGGGGAGAATGGAACCAAGTTGGAAAACACTCTGCAGGATATTATCCAGGAGAACTTCCCCAATCTAGCAAGGCAGGCCAACATTCAGATTCAGGAAATACAGAGAATGCCACAAAGATACTCCTCGAGAAGAGCAATTCCAAGACACATAATTGTCAGATTCACCATAGTTGAAAGGAAGGAAAAAATGTTAAGGGCAGCCAGAAAGAAAGGTCAGGTTACCCACAAAGGGAAGCCAATCAGACTAACAGTGGACATCTTGGCAGAAACTCTAGAAGCCAGAAGAGAGTGGGGGCCGATATTCAACATTCTTAAAGAAAAGAATTTTCAACGCAGAATTTCATATCCAGCCAAACTAAGCTTCATAAGTGAAGGAGAAATAAAATACTTTACAGACAAGCAAATGCTGAGAGATTTTGTCACCACCAGGCCTGCCCTAAAAGAGCTCCTGAAGGAAGCACTAAACATGGAAAGGAACAACCAGTACCAGCCGCTGCAAAATCATGCCAAAATGTAAAGACCATCGAGACTAGGAAGAAACTGCATCAACTAACGAGCAAAATAACCAGCTAGCATCACAATGACAGGATCAAATTCACACATAACAATATTAACTTTAAATGTAAATGGACTAAATGCTCCAATTAAAAGACACAGACTGGCAAATTGGATAAAGAGTCAAGACCCATCAATGTGCTGTGTTCAGGAACCCATCTCACATGCAGAGACACACATATGCTCAAAATAAAAGGATGGAGGAAGATCTACCAAGCAAATGGAAAACAAAAAAAGGCAGGGGTTGCAATCCTAGTCTCTGATAAAACACACCTTAAACCAACAAAGATCAAAACAGACAAAGAAGGCCACTACATAATGGTAAAGGGATCAATTCAACAAGAAGAGCTAACTATCCTAAATATATATGTACCCAATACAGGAGCACCCAGATTCATAAAGCAAGTCCTGAGTGACTTACAAAGAGACTTAGACTCCCACGCAATAATAATGAGAGATTTTAACAACCCACTGTCAACATTAGACAGATCAATGAAACAGAAAGTTAACAAAGGTACACTGGAATTGAACTCAGCTCTGCACCGAGCAGATCTAATAGACATCTAGAGAACTCTCCACCCCAAATCAACAGAATATACATTCTTCTCAGCACTACACCACACCTATTCCAAAATTGGCCACATAGTTGGAAGTAAAGCTCTCATCAGCAAACGTAAAAGAAAAGAAATCATAACAAACTGTCTCTCAGACCACAGTGCAATCAAACTAGAACTCAGGATTAAGAAACTCATTCAAGACTGCTCAACTACATGGAAACTGAACAACCTGCTCCGGAATAACTACTAGGTACATATTGAAATGAAGGCAGAGATAAAGATGTTCTTTGAAACCAATGAAAACAAAGACACAACATACCTGAATCTCTGGGACACACTCAAAGCAGTGTGCAGAGGGAAATTTATAGCACTAAATGCCCACAAGAGAAAGCAGGAAAGATCTAAAATTGACACCCTAACATCACAATTAAAAGAACTAGAAAAGCAAGAGCAAACACATTCAAAAGCTAGCAGAGGGCAAGAAATAACTAAAATCAGAGCAGAACTGAAGGAAATAGAGACACAAAAACCCTTCAAAAAATTAATGAATCCAGGAGCTGATTTTTTGAAAAGATGAACAAAATTGATAGACTGCTAGCAAGACTAATAAAGAAGATAAGAGAGAAGAATCAAATACATGCAATAAAAAATGATAAAGGGGTTATCACCACCGATCCCACAGAAATACAATCTACTATCAGAGAATATTACAAACACCTCTGTGCAAATAAACTAGAAAATCTAGAAGAAATGGATAAATTCCTCAACACGTACACTCTCCCAAGACTGAACCAGGAAGAAGTTGAATCTCGGAATAGACCAATAACAGGCTCCGAAATTGTGGCAATAATGAATAGCTTACCAACCAAAAAGAGTCCAGGACCAGATGGATTCACAGCCAAATTCTACCAGAGGTACAAGGAGGAACTGGTACCATTCTTTCAGAAACTATTCCAATCAATAGAAAAAGAGGGAATCCTCCCTAACTCATTTTATGAGGCCAGCATCATCCTGATACCAAAGCCTGGCAGAGACACAACCAAAAAAGAGAATTTTAGACCAATATCCTTGATGAACATTGATGCAAAAATCCTCAATAAAATACTGGCAAACCGAATCCAGCAGCACATCAAAAAGCTTATCCACCATGATCAAGTGGGCTTCATCCCTGTCATGCAAGTCTGGTTCAACATATGCAAACCAATAAATGTAATCTAGCATATCAACCTAACCAAAGACAAAAACGACATGATTATCTCAATAGATGCAGAAAAGGCCTTTGACAAAATTCAACAACTCTTCATGCTAAAAACTCTCAATAAATTAGGTATTGATGGGACATATCTCAAAATAATAAGAGCTATCTATGACAAACCCACAGTCAATATCAAACTGAATGGGCAAAAACTGGAAGCATTCACTTTGAAAACTGGCACAAGACAGGGTTGCCCTCTCTCACCACTCCTATTCCACATAGTGTTGGAAGTTCTGGCCAGGGCAATCAGGCAGGAGAAGGAAACAAAGGGTATTCAATTAGGAAAAGAGGAAGTCAAATTGTCCCTGTTTGCAGATGACATGATTGGATATCTAGAAAAACCCATTTTCTCAGCCCAAAATCTCCTTAAGCTGATAAGCAAATTCAGCAAAGTCTCAGGATACAAAATCAATTTACAAAAATCACAAGCATTCTTGTACACCAATAATAGACAAACAGAGTGCCAAATCATGAGTGAACTCCCATTCACAATTGCTTCAAAGAGGGTAAAATACCTAGGAATCCAACTTACAAGGGATGTGAAGGACCTCTTCATGGAGAACTACAAAACACTGCTCAATGAAATAAAAGAGGATACAAACAAATGGAAGAGCATTCCATGCTCATGGGTTGGAAGAATCAATATCATGAAAATGGCCATACTGCCCAAGGTAATTTAGAGATTCAGTGCCATCCCCATCAACCTACCAATGACTTTCTTCACAGAATTGGAAAAAACTACTTTAAAGTTCATATGGAACCAAAAAAGAGCCTGCATCGCCAAGTCAATCCTAAGCCAAAAGAACAAAGCTGGAGGCATCACGCTACCTGACTTCAAACTATAGTACAAGACTACAGTAACCAAAACAACATGGTACTGGTACCAAAACAGAGACATAGATCAATGGAACAGAACAGAGCCCTCAGAAATAATGCCGCATATCTACAACTATCTGATCTTTGACAAACCTGACAAAAACAAGCAACGGGGAAAGATTCCCTATTTAATAAATGGTGCTGGGAAAACTGGCTAGCCATATGTAGAAAGCTGAAACTGGATCCCTTCCTTACACCTTATACAAAAATTAATTCAAGATGGATGAAAGACTTAAATATTAGACCTAAAACTATAAAAACCCTAGAAGAAAACCTAGGCAATACCATTCAGGACATAGGCGTGGGAAAGGACTTCAGGTCTAAAACACCAAAAGCAATGGCAACAAAAGACAAAATTGACAAATGGGATCTAATTAAACTAAACAGTTTCTGCACAGCAAAAGAAACTGCCATCAGAGTGAACAGGCAACCTACAAAATGGGAGAAAATTTTCGCAACCTTCTCATCTGACAAAGGGCTGATATCCAGAAACTACAATGAACTCAAATTTACAAGAAAAAAAACAAACAATCCCATCAAAAAGTGGGTGAAGGACACGAACAGACACTTCTCAATAGAAGACATTTATGCAGCCAAAAAACATGAAAAAATGCTCATCACTAGCCATCAGAGAAATGCAAATCAAAACCACAATGAGATACCATCTCACACCAGTTAGAATGGTGATCATTAAAAAGTCAGGAAACAACAGGTGCTGCCGAGGATGTGGAGAAATAGGAACACTTTCACACTGTTGGTGGGACTGTAAACTAGTTCAACCATTGTGGAAGTCAGTGTGGCGATTCCTCAGGGATCTAGAATTAGAAATACCATTTGACCCAGCCATCCCATTACTGGGTATATACCCAAAGGACTATAAATCATGCTGCTATAAAGACACATGCACACTTATGTTTATTGTGGCAGTATTCACTATAGCAAAGACTTGGAGCCAACCCAAATGTCCAACAACGATAGACTGGATTAAGAAAATGTGGCACATATACACCATGGAATACTAATGCAGCCATAAAAAATGATGAGTTCATGTCCTTTGTAGGGACATGGATGAAACTGGAAATCATCATTCTCAGTAAACTATCGCAAGGACAAAAAAGCAAACACAGCATGTTCTCATTCATAGGTGGGAATTGAACAATGAGAACACACAGACACTGGAAGGGGAACATCACACTTCGGGGACTGTTGTGTGGTCGGGGGAGGGGGGAGGGATAGCATTAGGAGATATTCCTAATGCTAAATGACGAGTTAATGGGTGCAGCACACCAATATGGCACATGAATACTTATGTTGCAATCCTGCACATTGTGCACATGTATCCTAAAACTTAAAGTATAATAATAAAATAAAATAAAATAAAATAAAAAAGCAAAATATACACTAATACAGATTAACCAACTAAAAAAAGTAGAGAAAGGTTATTTAAAAAATATAAAGCATACAGTAATAATCTAACACGTTGAAATCTAAGAAGGAGAAAACAGCTGGTCTGAACAGCATTTTAAGTGGCAATGTTAGAGGTTTTATCAAAATTGACCAATAATATTAATCCACAGGTTCAGGAGGCTTTGCAAACCAAATGAAAACACACAGAGAGGACACACCTAGAAACATAATGGGACAATTTCTGAAAAGTAAAAGAAAAATGTCAAAAGCACTTGATAAAAAAATTGGGCTAACTATAAAGAGAAAGAGTTGACTGATAACAACCTTCTCAAATGAAACTATGAAAGCCAACAAGTGAGGTATTGATACCTTTCAAGTCCTGAAATAAAATAAGTGCCGACCTAGAACTGCCTACTTGGTGGACATATCCATCAAAAGCAAAGATACAATAAAGAATTTATCCCAAGCAGACCCACAGGAAAAGAAATACTAAAGATTATTCTTCAGGTAGAAGAGCTATGATCCCTGATGAAAGTTTGCAGTTAGAAGAACGCTTTTTTTAATGAAAGAAATAAACATAGAGAGAAATTTAATTGGATATCGACTGTATAACAGAATGCTATCTCATAAAGTTTAAAATGCATCTTCCATACAACAGCAGAAGCATATAAGTTGTGAGTTGGATAAACTAATTTTAAAATATTGTCAAGTTTTTTTGCAAATAGACAAATGTACCAATTATATTAGACCCTGAATTCAAGAATGCACGTTGTAATAAACCAGTTAAAACATAATCAGACCAGATTTTTTAAATGGACTCTCTTAAAGTTTTTATAATTTATATTTATATTTCACATATGTTAAAACTAAATAATGGAAAAGCATGCAATGCAAATATTAAACAAAATATAGCTTTAGTTGTACTTATATTCACATTTAAAAAGTTGGACACAGTTAAGTCTCAGTGATTTTTTTACACAACGGAGGCAAGCTGTGCAGTTATAACTAGTATTATGTTATGCTCTTGGCCTGATTACAGAAGGGAAAGGGGCAATCATACCAGACAATGGCAGAATGAAGCAACAAGGAGTAGAGTTACAGAACATGATGCTGTAACTGGGACTGGAGTTACTCTTTTAGAGTTAAAGAATAGTAAACTGGACAAAATATATGAAACTTTTTTTGAAATACTGAACATCAGGCAGCACAGGACAGTGCTCCGCAAGAGAAAAGAAGGAGCCAGAATGAGTCCTGCTTTATTCCCAGGTTCTCCGTGACAGCAGTAGAGACGAATCCCAGAGAGAGCAGACATTGTCATTGCACTGAGGAACCAGATAAAAACCAAAATGTTAAGCAGCTAGAATGTGTAGTAGAAGAGAATGTTTACAGAAAAAGGAACCAATAATCAGCCTAAGGTTTCTCCCAAGTCCCTAAGCCAAATGTACATAGGATGAAATTCTAAGGAGCTCAGCAAAGGACTCTACCAGGGAGTTGGAAGAACACTTCCCTGGCATCACATGACAGGAAGACATGTTAGCTCTGACCAGCCAGAGAAGGGAATCCCCTCTGTACCTCCAGGATATTCAGTAAAGACCACTGGAGGTTCATGCCCTAGTGACAGTGCTCATTTAGCTCCAAATTACAGATGGCTCTAGACTAACTCAACAAAGTTTAAAGAGAAGATTTAAAAC
Source organism: Homo sapiens (assembly GCF_000001405.40). Taxonomy (NCBI): domain Eukaryota; kingdom Metazoa; phylum Chordata; class Mammalia; order Primates; family Hominidae; genus Homo; species Homo sapiens. The sequence goes on along the minus strand of NC_000018.10, from coordinate 15,227,383 downwards.
AACAACAGAAAAATACTCATCCTGAAGTTACTGAACTGCCTGCCACAACATTGTTCAAAGGTAGCGAATAAAATCTAGATATTCAATAGCATAACATCAAAATACCCCCCCCAAAAAAAACTCTGACATGCAAAGAAGCCGGAAGATATATATTATTAAGATATATATTAATAGGATAAAAATAAGTCATTTATAAATGACAGAAGAAGGAATTTTCAAGGTCCTTAAAGTAAATATATTTTATAAATACATATAGATAAATACATATATAAGTCAAAGTACTTAAATGAAAATTGAACATAGGAGAAAAATGGAAGTTATAAAATGAAAAATGTGACACACATAGATGAAAAATAAATATTTGAAATAAAAATTCCATGAGATAGAATAAGTCATGGATTTTACCCTAACATCAGAAAATATATAGAAAAATTAGAAGCTTTACAAACTAAAGGACAAAGGGTAAACTAAAATAAGAAAGCCAGAAACTCACTGATACGTGAGACAATATGCAGCAGTGTAACATACATTTAATTAATATCTCAAAAGGGATGGGTGGGGGAATTATAGTTGAATAAAGAATGGTACTTTCATTCCTGAGGGCACCGAGGAGGGAGGATAGCTTGAGATTCCCAAGGGAGGGTATTATCCATTCATGAAGGTCCATCCCCATGACAAAACACCTCCCAGTAAGCCCCACCTGCAACATTGGGGATCAAATTTTAACAGGAGATTTGGAAGGGGCAAGCATTCAAACCATAGCAAGAGTTAAATTTCCTTTTAAAAAAAATCACTGATATGATTCCATTTTGCCATAGATAAAAACTATCATTTCAGCCTACCATTGAGTGTACTTATAGCTAACAGAAAGGGCACTCTGTCTCGGGAATACAGATTTGCCTAGAGGTATCCTAGTGCAGTCAAAGAAAGAGCAATGAGGGATAGAAAAGGTTAGTGATGGAGACACCAACGCTGCATTTTACAGCAAACAATGTAAAAACTTTACGGATTGCTTCTGCTAACTTACTAAAGTTTACATTCCTCTCAGGTGGGAGAATTGTGGAGTTTTTTCTTAAGATAGAAAAGCAATTCAGATAATCTGAAATCTCCACAAGAAGGATAAGAAGCACAGCAGAAACTATTCTAGGCATGAAGTCAATCCATTCAACTGTCTGTGCTCCATAGAAACAATTGTCTGCACTGGGAGTCATACGAGGTACAGACAACAGCCAGACCTCTGATCCTCTCATTAGTGATTTCAGAAGAAATTACCAGTCAGCTGAGTAATTCACTGAGTAAAGTAAACATTTGGCACTGACAGAAGTTAGACGGATAACTATTTGTATCACCATATTCATGAAGCTGGAATATTTTCCATTACTGGTATCACATCCGAATGGAAGATGTTAAAACGTCTCTCATCTTATAAGATGGATATGAAAGAACATTTTCTGAGAAATGAAATTATTCACACACCAGCGAGGTGGATGGAAGAGAAAAAAAAAAGAATAATCAGCTTGAGTTCTTCTCCTTGATAAGACAACTCACTAAAAACATAAAGAGAAAAATACAAGTTTAAAATAATAAACCAGAAGAAGACTACTCTAGACTTTTTAAATTGCTGATAAAATTTTAATTTGCTCCAAGTTGAAAATAACTATATCGCTTGTGTTTTAAGGCACATAATGAGCAATTATATCACACATGATAGATTCAGCAGTAAAATATTATCGGTTAACAGCTGGAACTCATAAAAGCATAGCACAATGTGAAGACGGAATTTGCTAAAATAAACCATCTGCTGAAAAATACTATTCTGCAAATTTAAAAATAAAGTTTAAATGTTATTTGTCTTATTTAATAGGTCTGTGAAAAAATGCGATATTTGAAAAGTAGGTGCTACCTTAATTAGTTCTTTATATTAGACAGCTGGTTACAGTAATGCACAGTAAGGTGCTACATACAAATATTGCTAAATTTTCTGCATATTCTATGTATTTAGCTTAAATTATTTGAAATTTTATAAAGTAACAAATGTATATTTAAATGTTTTGACACAAATTGCAAATATACCTTTAAAAAGCGTCTTACACTCTAAATATTATTTGTCACATATATATTTGTCTTTTCTCTAGAGGAAAGTTTAAATTTTTCCCTTGAAGCTTTAATTATTGGAGTCTATCAAACAAACTGATAATGTACAAATTAACAGGAAAAAAGGTTTACAGATATAATTATGTGCACAAGTATGCACTTGGAGTTTACATAATATACATAAATATGTATATACAAATATTTGTATATTATAAATAGATATACAAATATATACTGTATATGTATAAAAACTCCAGGAAAGGCAAGGTAGTCAACACGCCTATGCTGTCTTGAGGTTACAGAAAACACAGAGCTGCACTTTGCTAAATCAGGCTTTGCAGAAGGCAGGTGATGACAAGGAAGAAAGAGGAGCCTGGCAGCAGAGGTGGTCTTGTTACATGGATGAAACCTCACAGGGAGCAGCCCTCCTCTTGGGAAGTAAAGATAGGAAATGGTTTTTAGAAATGTAAACGTGCCAGACTCAGTTAATCTTTCCTAAACCCAGACAAGGGAGTATCTCAGGGAAAGCCTGTCTATATCAATGCAGATTTTCTCTACAAATGCAAATCTCCCCAACAAACACAGCTTTTCAGCTATTCTTGTAGAAGAAGCTATTTCCAGTCTTCCGAGTAGCCATCTTGAAATATGTCAAAAAGTTGGCCAGGTGCACGCCTGTAATCCCAGCACTTTGGGAGGCTGAAGTGGGTAGATCACCTGAAGTCAGGAGTTGGAGACCAGCCTGACCAACATGGTGAAACCCCGTCTCTACTAAATACAAAAAATTAGCCGAGTGTGGTGGTGCATGCCTGTAATCTCAGCTACTTGGGAGGCTGAGCTAGGAGAATAACTTGACCCTGGGAGGCTGAGGTTGCAGTGAGCCAAGATTGTGCCATTGCACTCCAGCCTGGGCAATAAAAGCAAAACTCCATCTCAAAAAAAAAAGTATTTTAGGGTAATATTTTGAGTATCTTTACCTCCATATGTACAATAAATATTATTGTGATTTTTAATCTTTACTTTTCTGTGGAGAAAACATAGGTGTGATTTCTAGTGTAGCTGAACATCACGTTTATTGACAATATTGCACTTGTGTGTGGGTGTGTGTGTGTATCTACTCTTTACCTTTGTTCTCACGTAATGATTAGATATTAACAATTAATTCAGTAAAATGTATGTTTTGCAATATTTCTCCATGTTATTATGCTTTAAATTAGTTTAATCATGCCCCTATAATGTGTACATTTTAACCTTTGACTATAGGTCTCAATCTTACTTTGGTTCCTGTAGTTTGAATTTATGCTAATAAAGTTCTACAGCTAAAAAGGATTATATAAACTTATCTACATTTTTACTAGTATTCTGGTGTCATTTAAAATTATGTAATTAAATCAAATTTTAATTTGGATTATTGTTATCTGAGTTAAGGATCTAAATTTTTAATTTTCTTATAAATATTACATAATTATTTCTGAACCATATATTGACTAATCTGCCCTTTATATGATGTGCATTATAAGAGCTTGGGATTGATTCCTTTGCAAACATGAATGCTTGAGAGGTAGATATTTAATCATAACATTTCAAAATCTACTGGATAACCTTGAATTGAAAAATAGCCTATAGGTTGAAAAACTCCTGTAGTGAAGAAAGAAATAACTAATATACAGTGACAATATAAATATTATAAGTATTTATTTTATTATTGCCCCAAAATTTGATAATACAAACATGTGATATCTACATATCATCCATATATCAGGTCATAAAAAATCAATACATTCTTCAAAAATTTAGCATACACAAAATGCACTCTCTCTCCTTGATGGAATTAAGTTACAAATAAAAGTAAAAATAAGTAGATAAGTAGATGGAAGTAGATGTTTAAAAACAAAGAAAAATATTTGTTTTGGATAACATAAAAACTCAATTGACGATTCCAATATTTCAAGAACTTTGGCTGTCAACTGGTGGAGTTTTCCCCAGGAGACATTTGTCAATGTCTAGGGTTATTGTGGGGATGTCAAGACTGGTGGAGGTGTGAAATTTAGAGGTCAAACGAAACACCTAGCATTGCTAGGGCAGCCTCCCACAACAAAGAATCCTCTGGTCCTAAAGGTAAGTAGCACCAAGGTTGAGAAACCATAATCTAGACAGGAAACACTATGTAGCTATTCCAAGTGCTCAGGAAAACACATCAGTGCCCTCGAGGGGAAAAGTGTAAACATTTTAATTGCTGTACATGGTGACACAAATCCATGTTGTTAATCTAAGTGGAAGAGGCTGAGGCACAAAATGTAATTCAGAGTTTACTTGAGCCACAATGAGGACAGCTGCCTGGAAGAAACAGACCCAAGTATCCTTGGATATGAACTCCATTTGGAGCTTTGCAACAAGCAGTTTCTTAAAGGCAAAAAAGGGACAAGAAGTGGGATGATGCAAAGAGGTTTGTCACAAATTCTCATTGGCTTATGGAAATAACATTTATTAGTGACTTGCTATACACTGTTACACTATTATTGGGTGTGGATTATAGTGTCTGGTGTGGCATTATTGGTTAATTTATAGCTACTGTGGCAACAGCAAGCAGCCTAGATGAACACACAGCTCAAAGAGGAGCAGGACAGAACTGCTGTCTCCTTTGAATATCTCTCTGGGCCTGATTATTTAAAAGGACTTGCATTTCTAACATGAAAGTTATTTTCTTTTCTCAATGTCAATAAATGAGAATAAATAGACATAAAATAGGTCTTTTCGAGGATGAAGTAAATGCAATAAAAAACAAAACACAAGCTGAACAGAAATCATAGAGGGAAGAAAAGGTTATAAATATATGGAGTTTTCAAAGTGATTTTAAGCTATTAGGAATCAGTTAAATGTTGGGGGATTTTGTCTGAGTATGGGCTAAAGGAGAATGTCCCTTTTGCCTTCTGAAGTTTCCCTGATAATCACTAATAGGAGGCAGATAAATAGTAGAAAAGGCAAACAGGTTTCTGCAATGTGTGTACACTGGAGCCCTTACAATGAAGACCCAGACACACGATGGGTGCAGAAGCTTATCTACCACATGAAGTTTACAGAAAGAATGGGGTCTTGGATCACAGGGAAAAAAAAAAAAGGTTATGTGGGAAAAGTACCCTGTCTAGCAACAGTGGACTTATTACGTAGGTGAAACCTCACTGGGAGCAGTCCTCAGAGAGAATAGACAGAAAATGTTTCTTTCAGACCTTTGGAGACCTCCGACACTCAGTTAACCTTTCCTAGATCCAGACAAGGGGGCAGACCTCAGAGAAAGCCTGGCTGCATCAAGGCAGATTCTCTACCGATGCGAATCTCCCCAAGACAGCTTTGCAGCTAAGTTTGCATTTCCAGCCCTTCTCAATAGCCATTTTGAAATATTTCAAGGAAATATATTTTGGGGTAAAATATATTAGTTTCCTTCATACAGCTATAAAACATGCAGGAATAATTTTTCTCAATGTCTACTACAAATCCAATATAGCAGTAATTATAAAACCCACCAGATATTGAAGAAAAAATACGTAGAGTACATCACTCACAAATATTGATACTAAAATGCCAAATAAAATAAAAATAATATCCAACAATATTTGAAACAGTAAGACAAGAAATTGGCAAAAAAATAAAACAAATATCCACCTTGGGGATGAAAGTGTGATTCCAAATTTGGTAATCCTATAATATTAATAATATATTGGTTAGCTCAAATAAAAAATAAATAGGGGATTCTCAGTACAAGCTAAAATATATTTGTTAAAAGGTCATATTCACGTCTTTAAAGATTTTAAATACTATAAAGAGTCTGATATTCTATATGAAAACATGTGTATGTCCATTAGAAGAACAGAGGCCTGATTTTCATATGTTACTACATAGAGGTAGAGAAGTGGATAATTTGCATATGCATAGAGAAAGCATAAAATATAAATTTACTATCATACTTAAAGGAATTTAAATTCAACAATAAAATAATTCAAAGGTACAATTTTAAATATTTTTAAGTTACATTATTAATATTACATAATATTTATAATAATTGTGAAAATATTCAATGCTAAAATAAGATAGAATGTCTAAACCTCAGTATTAAAACTAGTATAAATATTTGCTTGTTTATACAAGGAAAATTCAAGTTCAACCTAAAATTATATAGGAAATAAAAGAAAAATTTTAAGGGAGCTCTTTAATAACACAAACATATATATACACACACACACATATAACATGCATATATGTTATATGGGATAGATATAGATTTAACATGTTTTATCCATATGTGTATCTATCTATAACTACAGCTGTATGTATCTACCTTTCTATATATTTACACAGTGATATAAATATAGACTGGAATTAATATAAAGGCACATATGATTCTTGGATAAAAAGGATTTAGTATCATAAAGACAAATTCTTTCCAAATTCACCTATGAATCCACAACAATATACAGTTTCATTAGTATAATTTAAAATTTTTAAATAAATTCCAAGATTTATTTAAAGGAATATACATGTATACCAGTAGTAAAGAAAGAAGTAAGAGTGCACTAAACTAACTTGCTATTAAAATACATTTTTCCTAATTGAATACCTTTTATTTCCTTCTCCTGCCTGATTGCCCTGGCCAGAACTTCCAACACTATGTGGAATAGGAGTGGTGAGAGAGGGCATCCCTGTCTTGTGCCAGTTTTCAAAGGGAATGCTTCCAGTTTTTGCCCATTCAGTATGATATTGGCTGTGGGTTTGTCATAGATAGCTCTTATTATTTTGAAATACATCCCATCAATACCTAATTTATTGAGAGTTTTTAGCATGAAGGGTTGTTGAATTTTGTCAAAGGCTTTTTCTGCATCTATTGAGATAATCATGTGGTTTTTGTCTTTGGCTCTGTTTATATGCTGGATTACATTTATTGATTTGCGTATATTGAACCAGCCTTGCATCCCAGGGATGAAGCCCACTTGATCATAGTGGATAAGCTTTTTGATGTGCTGCTGGATTTGATTTGCCAGTATTTTATTGAGGATTTTTGCATCAATGTTCATCAAGGGTATTGGTCTAAAATTCTCTTTTTTGGTTGTGTCTCTGCTTGGCTTTGGTATCAGAATGATGCTGGCCTTGTAAAAAGAGTTAGGGAGGATTCCCTCTTTTTCTATTGATTGGAATAGTTTCAGAAGGAATGGTACCAGTTCCTCCTTGTACCTCTGGTGGAATTCGGCTGTGAATCCATTTGGTCCTGCACTCTTTTTGGTTGGTAAGCTATTGATTATTCCCACAATTTCAGATCCTGTTATTCGTCTATTCAGAGATTCAACTTCTTCCTGGTTTAGTCTTGGGAGAGTGTATGTGTCGAGGGATTTATCCATTTCTTCTAGATTTTCTAGTTTATTGGCGTAGAGGTGTTTGTAGTATTCTCTGATGGTAGTTTGTATTTCTGAGGGATGGGTGGTGATAACCCCTTTATCATTTTTTATTGCGTCTATTTGATTCTTCTCTCTTTTTTTCTTTATTAGTCTTGCTAGCGGTCTATCAATTTTGTTGATCCTTTCAAAAAATCAGCTCCTGGATTCATTAATTTTTTGAAGGGTTTTTTGTGTCTCTATTTCCTTCAGTTCTGCTCTGATTTTAGTTATTTCTTGCCCTCTGCTAGCTTTTGAATGTGTTTGTTCTTGCTTTTCTAGTTCTTTTAATTGTGATGTTAGGGTGTCAATTTTGGATCTTTCCTGCTTTCTCTTGTGGGCATTTAGTGCTATAAATTTCCCTCTACACACTGCTTTGAATGCATCCCAGAGATTCTGGTATGTTGTGTCTTTGTTCTCATTGGTTTCAAAGAACATCTTTATTTCTGCCTTCATTTCGTTATGTACCCAGTAGTCATTCAGGAGCAGGTTGTTCAGTTTCCATGTAGTTGAGCAGTTTTGAGTGAGATTCTTAATCCTGAATTCCAGTTTGATTGCACTGTGGTCTGAGAGATAGTTTGTTATAATTTCTTTTCTTTTACATTTGCTGAGGAGAGCTTTACTTCCAACTATGTGGTCAATTTTGGAATAGGTGTGGTGTGGTGCTGAAAAAAATGTATAAACTCTTGATTCGGGGTGGAGAGTTCTGTAGATGTCTATTAGGTCCCCTTGGTGCAGAGCTGAGTTCAATTCCTGGGTATCCTTGTTGACTTTCTGTCTCGTTGATCTCTCTAACATTGACAGTGGGGTGTTAAAGTCTCCCATTATTAATGTGTGGGAGTCTAAGTCTCTTTGTAGGTCACTCAGGACTTGCTTTATGAATCTTGGTGCTCCTGTATTGGGTGCATATATATTTAGGATAAGTCAAATTGTCCCTGTTTGCAGACGACATGATTGTATATCTAGAAAACCCCATTGTCTCAGCCCAAAATCTCCTTAAGCTGATAAGCAACTTCAGCAAAGTCTCAGGATACAAAATCAATGTCCAAAAATCACAAGCATTCTTATACACCAACAACAGACAAACAGAGAGCCAAATCATGAGTGAACTCTCATTCACAATTGCTTCAAAGAGAATAAAATACCTAGGAATCCAACTTACAAGGGATGTGAAGGACCTCTTCAAGGAGAATTACAAACCACTGCTCAAGGAAATAAAAGAGGATACAAACAAATGGAAGAACATTCCATGCTCATGGGTAGGAAGAATCAATATCGTGAAAATGGCCACAATGCCCAAGGTAATTTATAGATTCAATGCCATCCCCATCAAGCTACCAGTGACTTTCCTCACAGAATTGGAAAAAACTACTTTAAAGTTCATATGGAACCAAAAAAGAGCCCCCATTGCCAAGTCAATCCTAAGCCAAAAGAACAATGCTGGAGGCATCACACTACCTGACTTCAAACTATACTACAAGGCTACAGTAATCAAAACAGCATGGTACTGCTACCAAAACAGAGATATAGATCAATGGAACAGAACAGAGGCCTCAGAAATAATGCCGCATATCTACAACTATCTGATCTTTGACAAACCTGAGAAAAACAAGCAATGGGGAAAGGATGCCCTATTTAATAAATGGTGCTGGGAAAACTGGCTAGCCATATGTAGAAAGCTGAAACTGGATCCCTTCCTTACACCTTATACAAAAATCAATTCAAGATCAATTAAAGACTTAAACGTTAGACCTAAAACCATAAAAACCCTAGAAGAAAACCAAGGCATTACCATTCAGGACATAGGCATGGGCAAGGACTTCATGTCTAAAACACCAAAAGCAATGGCAACAAAAGACAAAATTGACAAATAGGATCTAATTAAACTAAAAAGCTTCCGCACAGCAAAAGAAACTACCATCAGAGTGAACAAGCAACCTACAAAATGGGAGAAAATTTTCGCAACCTACTCATCTGACAAAGGGCTGATATCCAGAATCCACAATGAACTCAAACAAATTTACAAGAAAAAAACAAACAACCCCATCAGAAAGTGGGCAAAGGACATGGACAGACACTTCTCAAAAGAAGACATTTATGCAGCCAAAAAACACATGATAAAATGCTCATCATCACTGGCCATCAGAGAAATGCAAATCAAAACCACAATGAGATACCATCTCACACCAGTTAGAATGGCAATCATTAAAAAGTCAGGAAACAACAGGTGCTGGAGAGGATGTGGAGAAATAGGAACACTTTGACACTGTTGGTGGGACTGTAAACTAGTTCAACCATTGTGGAAGTCAGTGTGGTGATTCCTCAGGGATCTAGAACTGGAAATACCATTTGACCCAGCCATCCCATTACTGGGTATATACCCAAAGGACTATAAATCATGCTGCTATAAAGACACATGTGCATGTATGTTTATTGTGGCATTATTCACAATAGCAAAGACTTGGAACCAACCCAAATGTCCAACAATGATAGACTGGATTAAGAAAATGTGACACATATACACCATGGAATACTATGCAGCCATAAAAAATGATGAGTTCATGTCCTTTGTAGGGACATGGATGAAATTGGAAATCATCATTCTCAGTAAACTATCACAAGAACAAAAAACCAAACACCGCATATTCTCACTCATAGGTGGGAATTGAACAATGAGATCACATGGACACAGGAAGGGGAATATCACACTCTGGGGACTGTATTGGGGTGGGGGTATGGGGGAAGGATAGCATTGGGAGATATACCTAATGCTAGATGACAAGTCAGTGGGTGCAGCACACCAGCATGGCACATGTATACATATGTAACTAACCTGCACAATGTGCACATGTACCCTAAAACTTCAAGTATAATAAAAAAATTAAAAATAAAAAAATAAAAATAAAAATAAAGAATCAAAATAAGATGTTACAGAATGTTTAGTGACTAGAAATACAATGATAATGTCCAATAAATAAATATATTTTACAAAAAGTAAAATAAAATAAAATACATTTTTAAACTTAGTAACTAAAACTGAGCAGTACTGATTTGGAGTAATGGAATTTAGGTATATGGGATCTCAAAAGCATAGAGCTCAAAGGAGACCCCTGTATGCATGAGAGCTTAGGATGTGCTTTAGAAGGCATTACCAAACCACGGGCAAAGTTACTTTGGTTTCTTAGTCTTACTAGGTTTGAAAAGCCAGAGAAAAGACTCAAGGCCACCATATAAGAGCAAAACAAAAGGACAGGGAGAGAATGTGAAGATACTGAAACATTTTACATAAAGTTGTATAAAACATACTTTAAAGAAAATGTAAAGTTTAGGATATACATCAAAATCAGCAGAACCACTAAATAAATAAATAGGAATTGTAAAAAAGCAAGAGAAAATTTAAATGGATTTCTAAAAAATATTGACACCTATGATTTTTAAAATATATTTAAGATATCCCATATTTCACAGGGCAGCCTTTCACAACATAGATATATTAGGACATAAAGGTCCTTCTGTTTTTAATTTACTAGTGTTTATAGGGTTACAAATGTCTTCTACCTTTGTCTTTTGTTTGATGGTGCAAAAAATTTTCATAAGCATGTACTTTTGAATGCCTGATGGATTGACATATATAATATGCTGCTAGTATTAAAATATATGACGGAAAACGCATCCAATCTTCTCACTGTTTACATAAATTCTAGGTTTCTCCTATTTACCTCAAGCACGTATGGAGTGAATTCTTACCTTTTAATATTGCCATGGTATTCACATTGAACGTAAGTTGAACTCTCTCATATGGTAGCTGGGTTCAGATTCCCTTGACAATTTCCAGTTCTTTTTTTTTTTTTTCAATTTCTTGCCACTTTATTTATATGCTAATACACATATGCACATTCTCATTTGCAGTCAGTGATAGATGGTATTTTGAGTTCAATTTTTTCTTTTATCTTGATACATTGAAATGTGCATAAAATACAATCTTCATACTTGTCATTTTGAATCACAGCTTTGTTATACATTGCCAGATTGTTTGCTAGAATTGAGTCAATTTTCAGTGCTGCCAAAAGAATGAATATATTGGATTCCCAATAATGTTGTAAACATTTAGCTGTTGTTATTTATTTTTGCTACTTTAACGGGCATTTCACCACTCTTCTAAAGCATATTAATTACTTATATTAAGTATACATATATTTGTCTGCTAGCAAAATTAATTTTAGGAAAAAGGCAGTTTGGCCACTGAGGAGTGGAACTATGGAGAACAAAAAGCAGAAGGAATTCATCCACATCTTTGAAATACAATCGTATTTGAACTAAAATTACAGCTTCTTTTAGGTTTCACTGCTTTATCAGTGACACACAGCACACCTATTTTATTTTATTTTTTTTATTATTATTTTTTTTATTTTTTATTTTGTATTTTTTATTATACTTTAAGTTTTAGGGTACATGTGCACATTGTGCAGGTTAGTTACATATGTATACATGTGCCATGCTGGTGTGCTGCACCCACTAACGTGTCATCTATCATTAGGTATATCTCCCAATGCTATCCCTCCCCCCTCCCCCGACCCCACAACAGTCCCCAGAGTGTGATATTCCCCTTCCTGTGTCCATGTGATCTCATTGTTCAATTCCCACCTATGAGTGAGAATATGCGGTGTTTGGTTTTTTGTTCTTGCGATAGTTTACTGAGAATGATGGTTTCCAATTTCATCCATGTCCCTACAAAGGACATGAACTCATCATTTTTTATGGCTGCATAGTATTCCATGGTGTATATGTGCCACATTTTCTTAATCCAGACTATCATTGTTGGACATTTGGGTTGGTTCCAAGTCTTTGCTATTGTGAATAATGCCGCAATAAACATACGTGTTCATGTGTCTTTATAGCAGCATGATTTACAGTCATTTGGGTATATACCCAGTAATGGGATGGCTGGGTCAAATGGTATTTCTAGTACTAGATCCCTGAGGAATCGCCACAATGACTTCCACGATGGTTGAACTAGTTTACAGTCCCACCAACAGTGTAAAAGTGTTCCTATTTCTCCACAACCTCTCCAGCACCTGTTGTTTCCTGACTTTTTAATGATTGCCATTCTAACTGGTGTGAGATGATATCTCATAGTGGTTTTGATTTGCATTTCTCTGATGGCCAAAATACTGGCAAACCGAATCCAGCAGCACATCAAAAAGCTTATCCACCATGATCAAGTGGGCTTCATCCCTGGGATGCAAGACTGGTTCAATATACGCAAATCAATAAATGTAATCCAGCATATAAACAGAGCCAAAGACAAAAACCACATGATTATCTCAATAGATGCAGAAAAGGCCTTTGACAAAATTCAACAACCCTTCATGCTAAAAACTCTCAATAAATTAGGTATTGATGGGATGTATTTCAAAATAATAAGAGCTATCTATGACAAACCCACAGCCAATATCATACTGAATGGGCAAAAACTGGAAGCATTCCCTTTGAAAACTGGCACAAGACAGGGATGCCCTCTCTCACCGCTCCTATTCAACATAGTGTTGGAAGTTCTGGCCAGGGCAATAAGGCAGGAGAAGGAAATAAAGGGTATTCAATTAGGAAAAGAGGAAGTCAAATTGTCCCTGTTTGCAGATGACATGATTGTTTATCTAGAAAACCCCATCATCTCAGCCCAAAATCTCCTTAAGCTGATAAGCAACTTTAGCAAAGTCTCAGGATACAAAATCAATGTACAAAAATCACAAGCATTCTTATACACCAACAACAGACAAACAGAGAGGCAAATCATGAGTGAACTCCCATTCACAATTGCTTCAAAGAGAATAAAATACCTAGGAATCCAACTTACAAGGGATGTGAAGGACCTCTTCAAGGAGAACTACAAACCACTGCTCAAGGAAATAAAAGAGGACACAAACAAATGGAAGAACATTCCATGCTCATGGGTAGGAAGAATCAATATCGTGAAAATGGCCATACTGCCCAAGGTAATTTACAGATTCAATGCCATCCCCATCAAGCTACCAATGACTTTCTTCACAGAATTGGAAAAAACTACTTTAAAGTTCATATGGAACCAAAAAAGAGCCCGCATCGCCAAGTCAATCCTAAGCCAAAAGAACAAAGCTGGAGGCATCACACTACCTGACTTCAAACTATACTACAAGGCTACAGTAACCAAAACAGCATGGTACTGGTACCAAAACAGAGATATAGATCAATGGAACAGAACAGAACCCTCAGAAATAATGCCGCATATCTACAACTATCTGATCTTTGACAAACCTGAGAAAAACAAGCAATGGGGAAAGGATTCCCTATTTAATAAATGGTGCTGGGAAAACTGGCTAGCCATATGTAGAAAGCTGAAACTGGATCCCTTCCTTACACCTTATACAAAAATCAATTCAAGATGGATTAAAGATTTAAACGTTAGACCTAAAACCATAAAAACCCTAGAAGAAAACCTAGGCATTACCATTCAGGACATAGGCATGGGCAAGGACTTCATGTCCAAAACACCAAAAGCAATGGCAACAAAAGCCAAAATTGACAAATGGGATCTAATTAAACTAAAGAGCTTCTGCACAGCAAAAGAAACTACCATCAGAGTGAACAGGCAACCTACAACATGGGAGAAAATTTTCGCAACCTACTCATCTGACAAAGGGCTAATATCCAGAATCTACAATGAACTCAAACAAATTTACAAGAAAAAAACAAACAACCCCATCAAAAAGTGGGCGAAGGACATGAACAGACACTTCTCAAAAGAAGACATTTATGCAGCCAAAAAACACATGAAAAAATGCTCATCATCACTGGCCATCAGACAATTTCCAGTTCTAACCCTCACAGTTCCTCAGTGTGGCTGGCCCAGATATTGACTCTACACAGCTGCCTCCTCCTGGTGACTAGCCGCTGTGGAACCATTGGATACAACCTACCTGACTCACCCCACAGACCTCACAGCCCACATGGACAGCCCCCACACGCCAGAGTGACCTGCTCAGTTGCAGCTGCAGCCAAGAAATGTGCCTGCTGGCACTCACCCCACTGACCAGAGCCCCATGGAAAACTTATTTGGGTAATGTTCTGGGCCCAATAAAGGCTGGAGTCTCACAGACCCCTTTTCTCTTTCTTGCTCCCCACTCATCTTCCACATTTTGTTCAGCCCTATGAGGAGTGCTACTGTATTAGTCCATTTTCACACTGCCGGTAAAGACAAGCCCAAGACTGGGTAATTTCCAGAACAAAGAGGTTTAATAGACGCACAGTTCTACATGGCTGGGTAGGCCTCACAATCATGGTGGAAGGTGAAAGGCACGTTTCACGTGGCAGCAGACAAGACAAGAGAGCTTGTGCAGGGAAACTCCCCTTTATAAAACCATCAGATCTTGTGAGACTTATTCACTATCAAAAGAACAGCATGGGAAAGACCTGCCCCCATGATTCAATTTCCTCCCACCTGTTCCCTCCCACAACATGTGGGAATTCAAGATGAGATTTTGCTGGGGACACAGCTAAACCCTCTTCTCAGCTACTCTCTTCTCTCTGGATCTGTGAGTAATAAAACTAATTCTGTGATTTCCCATGTTTGGTCCTGTGGCCTCCATGTGTCTGATCTGACCTACACTGGAACCTAACTCTCCTCCTGGCCAGGGTCTCTAAGAGTGGCTCTTGTCAGAAATACACAGGACACAGGTCAGGCAACAGCCACCAGGCATCTCCTAGTCTCAACAGATGTTCTGTGAGAGGGAGGCCTGGTCGTGGGATGCACACCTGGCCACTGCTGGGGTAAGGAAGTGCCTTGTGAAAGGCACATGTTAAGCATCCACAATCCCCTGCTCAGAACCCGAGAAAGGCAGGGCTCCAATTGACAGTCACTCTCCAGAGACAAACCTCAAGCCCTAACTGGAGGAAAATAAAACAATGTAAAAATTTGAATTTATCTTACTATTTCAATGATCCAGTAAGGACATTCTATGCCTGTACACCACATATTTTCTTTGATTGTGGATATATTTTAGGTAGAATTTTATGTCTGGCTTTCACTTTAGCCTGGTCCCTACCTCAAGCATAAGGTAAAGATTTTCCATGGTTTCTTTTCTGGTACTACTGCCTGCCAGTGTGGGGTCATGTCCTAGTCTATCTTGAGGGAACCCCCCTATTCATTATTGTCAGAGTGAGACTGTTAAGTCTTGATTTCCCTGGACAACTTCATTGCATGACTTTTAATATGATTTTTAAATATACCCTTTACTGGGCAATAAATTATATAGTTATCTGAGTAAGAGATATGATCAGGAAGAGGCATTGCCTCATTCAGCTTTTCTGTTTGGTGAACTCACATATGTTCTCCTCACCCACCAGTCACCTCTAAACCATATTGTTCCAAGACAACAAACAGAACTCCAGTGTGTATCTTTCACCACTGGATTTGTCTTTGCTCCATAAAGCTTAATGCTTAATAGGGTTTCTGTTAGCATTTTCTCTATTTATTTTCCCATAAAACATCACAGGCCTTCTTCATATGGAATTATGGGTGATTTCCTTCAATCTGCATCATATCAAGTTGAGGTTCATGTTGATGGAAAGTAAAACATACGTTTAAAATATCAGTAATGATGTTTTCCCCTCCTTTTTGGCACATGTGCTTGTGAGAGTCATTGTAATACAATTCTAGTCTCATGCTTTGATCAATCCTAAGATGAAAATAATATTTTTAGATAAAATATCTGAGTTTTATGAGGCCTTTAGTATATGATGTAATAGAATATCAGAAGACCATACTTTTTTCTAGTTTTCCATGTAATTCTTTCATTGTTTCACCTTTACTCCTACGACAGTAATTTTCCAAAACAGATATCTTGTCATTCCTCCTGTTGTTATCAGTAAATAAGTGAAACGAAAAGCTAGATTATGTAATTTATCTAGAACAAGAAAGTAGAATTGAATCTATATTCATTAATGAGACTAACCAGTCAATTACACAGATAAGCATTTTACATTTTGAAGATCATATGGACCCATTGTCAGATATATTATTATTTATGTCTATATGGACATCACCTGTGCCTATTTATGTAGAACTCAATGACAGCTGATTTTTATTTTTATTATATATATTTTTTGAGATAGGGTCTTGCTTTGTTGCCCAGGCTGGAGTGCAGTGGTGCAATCACTGCTCACTGCAGCCTCAACCTCCCAAGCTCAAGCAATCCTTCCACCTTGGCCTCCCAAATAGCTAGGACAACAGGTGCACATCACCATGCCCACCTTTTTTTTTTTTTAACTTTTGATAGAGGCTGGGTCTTGCTATGTTGCCCAGGTTGCTCTTGAACTACTGGGCTCAAAGAATCCTCTCATTTCAGCCTCTTCAATGGCTGGTATTACAAGCATGAGCCACCATATGGGCTGGAAGCTGATTTTTAAAATACTGAGATCATATAGATAACAGCACCTGAAAAATAGACAACACCAAGCTTTATGTTAAAAAGTGTGAGGGTATCAATATTGTTGTGGCTATTGGGGAGGAAAACATTCGTAAAACCAGTGAGTTAAAGCTGTTGCTTTAAACTTTGGCTTTAGTTTAACAAATGTTCTCTGGGGTGACAGTATGTATGTAACCATGCTATGCCCATTCACAGATGCAGTAGAGGGAAGAATTTCTCAAAGACAACTGTTCTAAGATTGAAATTAAACCGCATTGGGTATGAAAAGAGAAAGTCCAGGAATTAGCAAATATTTTAGATATCAGATAAAAGAGAATGCCAGGTATGCGATGATAATCAGCAATGGTTGTTCACAGAATACATCAAATCAGTATTTGAATTAGCTTTTGAATTATAAGGACAAATGGATCAAGTGTTGACTCTTTAGTAGATAAATGTTATTAGGCTGAGATGTGTTTTCCCCTGTTTTTCCACAAGGAGATTACAAATTTGCAAACCTCAGCTGCTCTCATTTTATGCTCTCACCAAGCCGAAAGCTGAAGTTCATCAATCAGTGTGTCTAAGTGTTCACTAGTTATATACCATTTTGTAGTTTAAGCTATCTTTCCAACTTCGTAAATCATCACCTTTATTTGACCTTGTTTTTTTCCACTATCACTTCTTTATTGACCACATAAAGAATATAAGTAAGTTCTTATTTTGTTATTGTTCATTTTAGTCTAATTTCATCAAAATATCATAATCCTTTAATTTCCTTTTAATTTCAAAGATTAAGTGAAACCTACATAGAAATGAGTGTAAGATTTGCATTTGCGTTATTTTGGTATTAATTTGCTATCCTCCCTCATACACAGTGATCATTTCCATGTACGTGATTTCAAACATCCAAGTGCAGTATTAAAAGCAGTTGTAAATTATGGTTCTGATTTTCATGATACAATTACTATATAAACTTCCTCTTGCTGCTGTAACCAATTACCACAAACTTCATATCTTACAATAAAGTGACTGGTAATCCTACAGTACTGGAGCTCAGAAGCCTTAAATGAGACTCACAGGGCTAACATCAAGTTTTGGGCAGGGCTGCAGTCTTTCTGAGGGCTCTGTGGCAGAATCTATGTACTTGATTTTTTTCAGCATCCAGAGGCCACCTTTATTCCTTGGAACATGACCTCATTCTTATATCTTTTTTTTTTTTTTTTTTTTTTGAGATGGAGTCTCCTTCTGTCGCCCAGGCTGGAGTGCAGTGGCATGATCTCAGCTCACTGCAACCTCTGCCTCCCGGGTTCAAGCGATTCTCCTGCCTCAGCTTCCTGAGTAGCTTGGACTACAGGCATGTGCCACCATGCCCAGTTAATTTTTTGTATTTTTAGTAGGGATGGGGTTTCACCATGTTAGCCAGGGTGGTCTCGATCTCCTGACCTCGTGATCCACCCACCCCGGCCTCCCAAAGTGCTGGGATTAGGCGTGAGCCACCGTGCTGGGTCCTCATTCTTGTATCTTAAAAGTCAGTGATGTTGAGTAATTTCTCATGCCACCACCTCCATGGTTGCCTTTCTTCTGCCTTCTTCTTTCACTTATAAGGAAGCTTGTGATTTCATTGATCCCACCCAATTAAGATAATCTCTCCATCATTTTATTGCAAACTTAATTTCACTTGAAATCTAATTTCCCACTGCCATGCAACCTAACATATTTGTATGTTAGACTCTGGGAATTAGGACATGAACATTTTTGGGAGGCCATTCTTTTGTCTACACCAGACATAATCTATTTACCTGCAGATTAAAGTGTTCTTTATTTTTCTGCCTCCCTCTCTTAATTTTTTAAAATAATATGAATTGTAAAGAGAAAGAAAGAAAAGAAAAGAAAGAAAAAAGAAGCAAGGAAAGAAGGAAGGAAGGAAAGAAAGAAAGAAGAAAGAAAAGAAGGAGGAAATGAGAGAAGGAAGGGAGGGAGGGAGGAAGGGAGAAAGGCAGGAAGGGAGAAAAAAGAAAGCAAGAACACAAGAAAGAAAGAAAGAAAGAAAGAAAGAGAGAAAAAGAAAGGAGGAAGGGAGGAAGGAAAGGAGGAAGAAAGAATGGTAAAAGGGAGGAAGGCAAAGAAACAAAGAAAATAAAGAGGAAAAGGAAGGAAGTAAGGAAGAAAGGAAAAAGGAGGAAAGGAAGGGAGGGAGGAAGGAAGAAAAGGAGGGAGGAAGGGAGAAAAAAAGAAAGAAAGCAAGAAAGTGAGAAAGAAAGAATAAGAGAAAAGAAGGAAGAAAAGAAGGGAGGGAGAAAGGAAGGGAGGGAGGAGGGAAGGAAGACTAAGAGGAAAGAAAGAAGGAAGGAAAGAAGAAAGGAAGGAGAAAAAAGAAAGAAAAGAAAGGAAAAGAGAAAAGAAAAGAGGAAAAGAAGAAAGGAAGGAAGAAGGCAAGGGAAGGGAAGAGAAGAGAAAGGAAGATGGAAAGAAGGAAGGAAGACGGCAAATATTAGAAATTCTGGGTTTGTTAGAGAATTTGCCATACTGTTTTTTTTTTCACTTGAAAGGAAAGAGTATCTGCCATTGAAGATTGGATGTCTTGTTGGTGATATTTTTGTTCTTATCTTCCATATGATTATTGAGTTTGTGCCTAGTCTGTCCATTACTAAGACAAAAGTGTTGAAGTCTGCAAATATAATTTTGGATTTTTCTAGTTCACCTTCGATTTCTTTCCTGTTTTACCTCATGTATTTGGAGGATCTATTGTTAGCTGCATACCCTAATTAGTAGGATGTTTACATCTTCTTGAGAATTGATTATTATATTATCTATTATCTCTCATTTCTGATACTATTTCTTGTTCTGAACTCTGTTGTGTCTAATATCAATGTAGTCCTTCCACAGCTTTATTTTAGTGTTTCCATGATATGGCTTTCTCCATATCTTGATGATAACCTATTTATATCTCTATATATTTGGAGCAAGATATAAAATTTAGAGTTGATTTTTTAAAGATTTTTCAAGATTTAATTCTTATTTATTTTTGTTCTATTTGACATTCTCTGAGTTTCCTATATCTGAAGTTTGATTTTCTGTCACTTCTTTTAGAATATTTTTGGCAGTTATTTCGAAAAATATTTCTTTTGCTCCATTATTTTTTCCTCTTTTCTTTTTGGGATTTCAGTTATAACTAGCGTAGGTAATTTCATCTCAATCTTATGCAGGTACTTTTTCTCAGGGTCTCAGGAATGTAGCCTTCTCACACTTCTGTTCTTTTCCTGGCTGTGTTGGTGAGCTCAGTGATATTCCTCCTTCACCTTCAAGAGCAGTTTTGTTTTGTTTTTCCTGTTTTCATACTTCCAGCATCAGGAGTATTCTAAGTGTGGCAGTTTTGGTTGCCTTCCCCTACATATTAAGTGGAATATCTTGGTCTATTTGGACTCTTATAACAAAATAACATAAACCGGGTGACTAAAAAACAACACATATTTCTTTTTTCACACTTCTTGAGGCTGTAAGATCTCAGGTCAAGTTGCTCACAAATTCAGTGTTGATGAGAGCCCATTTCATGGTTCATAGATGGTGCCTTCTTTCTATGTCCTCACATAGTGGAAGGCACACAAGAACTCCATTGAGCTTCTTTTATAAAGGCACTAATCCCATTCATAAGGGCTCGGCCCCCAAGACCTGGTCACCTCCCAAGTGTTCTGCTCTCCCTGATCTGTATCATATACAGACTCTCTTGGATTCCTTACCAATTGCTTGAGAGATCACAGTGGATTTGTGGGGAAAAAGTTTTCAAGATGATGGATCTTTCCCAACTTCTGCAGCTGTCAGCCATCTCCCAATGCCACCAGCCCCACTTTGTCTTTAGGAATTTATTGATCATTCCAGTTTTACTTGTCATAGTGGTGTCTATTTGCATCTGTCCTATGTAAGTGCATCTGTCCTCTTTCTCCTTGCAGGTGCTTGCTTTCCCTCACATTTTGATTCAGTTCTTGGCAACCTGGTTGCTATAAAAATAAAGTCATGACTTTGAAGTTAGTTTGGTTCTTTCATTGTTGTAAGGTTAGGAGCCCTATTCCATCCCAGCTCTCCAAAACCCAGAATTTTTTGGGGGTTGAAATTTTAGGCTTTCTCTTTGAATTGTAGTTTTACCTTATTTTAATTACAATTTGCATTTTCATAGTGATTAATGAGACTAAGCTTTTTTTGTGTAGTTGACTGTACCTTTGGATTTTTTTCCCCAAATTCCTTTTCATGTCTTATTTTCTTTATGGTTTTAGAAAATGTAGTTTACATAATTGCAGCTTGATTTTTTAATCAGTTAATGGTATGCTTAATGGAGAGAAAAAATATTAAGTATATTTCCCTTTTTAATTACCGTGCTTTTTTCTTTTTTAAGAAAATATTTCATTATGTTAAATTTTAGTGTTATTCTACTTAGCTATTCCTTAAATATAGTATTTTGGATTTCACATATAAATTTGTGACACATCTTGAGTTTATTATGTATAGAGTAAGGCTATTTTCTCTTTTTTGTTTTTTAAGGTAAAAATCACATAATATAAAATTAATAACAACCATTTTAAAGCAAAGAATGCAGTTGTTTTTAGTATATTCACGATGTTCCAGGACAATTTCATCATGTCCCTTCTAAAAACCCATTATGCATAAAGTCGTTACACCCTATTCTGCTTCCCTGATCCCTAATGACCACTAATCTGAATTATATCCCAATTGATTTGCCAATTCCTGATGTTTCATGCGAATAAAATCAAGTAATATTTGTCCTTTTGTGCATTTAACATAATGCTTTCAAATTTCACCCATATTATACTATGTATAAGTACTTCATTCTTTGTTATAGCTGAATATTGGGTGTTCATTTATGAGTCAACAAGCATATGGATTGTTTCCACTTTTTGACTGTATGAATATTACTGCTGTAAATATTCATGCACATGTTTATTTTTTGAGCACCTATGTTTTGTAAGATTAACAGCTGACTTAACAGAAACAATGGAAGGCAAGAGACAGTAGAATAATATATTCAAAAGATGCAAGGAAAAAAAGCTGTCAGCCACCAATTCCTTAATGAGCAATTATTTTTCAAAAATGAAGATAACACAAAGACTTACCCAGATAAACAGAAATATTAACTGAAGTTGTTGCTGGCAGACCTACCATACAAAAAAAAAAAAAACACTAAAATAAATTCCTAAGGCTAAAAGCAAGTTACCCAAGTCAGTCATTTGAATCCACATTTTTAAAAAAGCACTGGTATAGGTAACATTAACATTATAAAACACAGTAGAAATGTGTGTTTTCTCTTTATCATAAATTGTTTTTAAAATATGTGTATAATGGCCGGGTATGATGGCTCACGCCTGAAATCTCAGCATTCTGGGAGGCTGAGGCGGGTGTATTATGAGGCCAGAAGATCGAGACCATCCTGACTAACACAATGAAACCCGTCTCTACTAAAAATACAAAAAATTAGCTGGACGTGATGGCGGGCGCCTGTAGTCCCAGCTACTCGGGAGGCTGAAGCAGAAGAATGGCATGAAGCCGGGAGATGGAGCTTGCAGTGAGTGGAGATTGTGCCACTGCACTCCAGCCTGGGCGACAGAGGGAGACTCCGTCTCAATGATAATAATAATATGTGCATAATGTATTGCTGAGTATTTGACATGTAGAAATGTAATACGTCTATAACATATTTTCCAGTAACATCAAAAAGGAGGTAGTTGGAAGAAAAATATATTGTGATAAGGTAATCATTCTAGATGGTAAAGTAATAATTACTAAAATGTATTGTTGGCTTTGTAACTTTAATAGATGTAATGTGTAAAGGGATAATACTTTAAAATGGAGGAAATAAAAAAGATTTGTATAAGAATGATATTTCTATGTATTACTAAAAGTTTACTAGTATAAATTGGAAGACAATTGGAATAATTAATTTTCCATATACCTATATGGTAAACTTACAAAAACAACAAAAATTCTCAAAAATATATAGTAAAATAATTCATTAGTAATCTAAAGTTCCCTATTTTAGAAAATATTCATTCATTGCCAAATAAAGCAATAAAGAAAAATATTTGAGAAATATACAAAACAAACGGCAAAATGGTAGACATAAATAGAATTATACCAATTATAATATTAAATGTGAGCAGATTAAAATCTAATCAAGAGGCAGAGATTGTCAGACTGGATTAAAACAAGTGATCCCAATATACGCTGAGATGCAAGGATACTAATGGATTGAAAGTAAAAAGATGACAAAAAATATCATGCAAAAGCAATCATAAGAACACTGAACCCATTATACTCATAAAACACGATAGAGACTATTAAAAATGTGAATAGGATTTTAAAAATTTATACAGTAGTAACAAGGGGGTCAACGCTTTTGGAAGACATAGCTATTACAATCATGTATGCACAGATATGAGCTAAATTGTTTCCTCTATATAGATGCTGAAATCTTAACCACTGAATATGATCTCATTAGGAAAAAGGTTCTTTGCAGGTGATCAAGTTAAGATAAAATCAGATGAGCCTGAATTCAATATGACTGATGTCCTTATAAAAAAAAGAAATTTGAGTAGAGGGAGACATACACACAGGGAGAGTACCATGTGATTATGAGGGAAGAGAGTAGCCAAGGAATGCCAAAGACTGCCACTAAACCACCAGAAGCTAGAAACAAGGCACAGAACAGACTTTCTCTCATAGCCCTTGAAGGGACCATCCCTGCTGACACCTCAATCTCAGACTTTGAGCTTCCAGGACTATAAGACTATAAATGTATGTTGTTCAAGGCACCCAGTTTGTGTTACTTTGTTATGGCAGCCCTAGAAAACTAATACATGAACTAATAACAAAGCATAATAACATGAAGCAAAAATTGACAAAAGAGGAGCATCAGCAAAATGGCAGTGGAGACAGCTGCAATCTTTCATTTCCCCACAGAAACATCACACAACAAAGAGAAACTGTCCGAATAAACTTTGCTAAAACTCTGGAAAATGGTCAAAAGATTACAACAACCAAGTGAAAGCAGATTCAAGAAAAAGACAACTTGAAAACTTTATGACATTTTTAACTTGCCTTTGCCCCAGCAAATTGGCAGTTTTGAAGTGTCAGAAGCCCACGTTCCCAGTGAGGAACCCTGGTCCATGGTCCAAAGGAAAAAGAGAAGATCTTACCCGCAAATTATTATGTGTCTGTTCTGACTGGTCTGGGGCATACCTAAAGGACTAATGAAAGGCTTTTCTTTTTCTGTGTTGCTAGAATACAGAACAGATAAGGAATGGATATTATCAAGAAACTCTGCAAGGAGACCTAACAAACCACAGATGCTTAGGGCAAAAATTAGAGTTTACACATATAATAGATCACCTTCAGCACAGGAAGAAAAGTTGGAGAAGAGTATTTGGAAAACTAAGACATTCAAAGTCATTCACGTACATGGGAGAGTCTAGAATGTCACATGTATGCATAGGTTAAGCCACATGCTGACAAATGTCATAAGAAGACCCTGCACTTTTACCTTGGCTGATCCCTCCCCTCAGTGCAAGGTCTGTGCAAGAGTGAACTTGAACTTCACTCAGTGCAAGAGTGAACACACACTTTGTGCCGGCTTTAAGGAACCCAGCACAAAGCCAGTCTGCATGGCCTAGAGACATATTTTGCTGGATAATGATTACTTGTTTTTCTTTTTCTTTTTGTTGTATTTTTCTGTTTGCTTAGTTCCTGATATACAAGAAAATCACTGTCAAAACATTAGCTTAACATCTGTTAAGGAAATAAAAAGACTTCAGACCACACCTTATAAAGCAAACAGTTTTGTAAATCACTTTGGAAAAATTCACTAAAAATAAAAACCTTAACAATATAATAAGTAAAGCAAATTTAAAGCCACAAAACATTAGTGTGTTTGAAGGGGAGAGGGTCTGATTTACAGAGTAACCACATAGTAATTATAATTACTATAATGTCCAGTTTTCAAAAAATGTTACAAGGCATACAAAGAACGGGAAAGTATGGCTCATTGAAAGGAACAAAATAAATTGACAGAAAATATCTCTAAGGAAACCCAGACATCAAACTTACTAGGCAAAGACTTTAAAACAACTCTCTTAATTATACTCAAATGTCAAAAGGAAAACATAAACAAAGAAATAAAGGAATCAGAAAAAATATTAAAAAGTAGGAATATCAACAAAGAGATAACAGAAATTCTGGAGTGGAAAACTACAATGATAAAAATTAAAAAATCACTGGAGGGATTTAAGAGTATATTTGCACACACAGAAGTCATGAGCTTGAAGATAAGATAATGGAAAATATTGACTCTGAGAAACAGATAAAAAATGAACAGCGACTAAGGAATCTGTGGGACATCATCAAGTAGACCAACATTCATATTCTATAAGGATAAATTATGTTGTTAAAAACTTTACCATTCTTT
Organism: Homo sapiens; assembly: GCF_000001405.40. Classification (NCBI taxonomy): domain Eukaryota; kingdom Metazoa; phylum Chordata; class Mammalia; order Primates; family Hominidae; genus Homo; species Homo sapiens. Next base: position 15,201,965 of record NC_000018.10, on the reverse strand, counting down.
CTTTTCACCTTTCTTTCTTCCTCCCTCCCCCTCCTCTTTACTTTTCTTCCTCTTCCTTTCTCTTCTTCTTTCTCTCCTTCATTATCCCTTTCGCTCTGTTTCTCTTTCTCCCTTTCTCTTTTTTCTTTTCTTTCAATTTTCTCAATTACTAAGAGATGTTTAAATACCCTTACCATGTGAGTAGATATGGTTATTTCTCCCTTTAGTTCTCTTTTGAGATTTATAGTCACTCTAAGTAAAGAGATAACCCAAACATAAGCCTCACAAACAGGCTTCCATACCATTCTTAACTTGGTCCTGTAATTCTTCATTGCTTTATTAACTTTCTGATGCTTTTAAGGATGTTTTATAACAAATTGTTTAGTTTTTTCCAATGGAATATTTATTCTGAATTATCTAATTCATATTGTAAGTATATAGGGAGTTTAATATAAAATTATTAAACTAATATTTGTGAAAGAATGCATTTGTGCATTTAACAAATATGTTAATCCTCAAACTGCTATTGGGCAGCTGAGCATACAGCAATAAAAATAACATAATTTTTATGTGTACAATATTTATGGAATACGTTACTGGAACAGATAAATAATTTAGTTAATAACATGACAAAGAACAGAAATTGTATACACTATACAGCATAGTAATAGAATAATGAATGATTAAAGTTATTAATATTAGGTAGAAAATGAAGGGTATCTTTGAGAGCAGAACTCAAGGAAGCAAGCAATTTGCCTTATGAGGAAAGAGTTACCTGTGGATAAAGGAGAAACTGAAAAATTTACAAGTCAAGACTTTTTGAGCAAAAACAAAAATATGACTATGAGTCACCAATTCAGTACAGTGAAAAAAAAGTTGAAGAGATATCTTGGAAGTAAACCATGTTGTGGAAGAGCAGGGTTTTGATAATCATGGGATTATTCTGAATGAATTTTAAATGCGATAGGAATATATGAGATAATTTCACCAGAGAATAATATGATCATGTTTGCATTTCAAAGGGGTGTATCTGGTGCACTGTGTAGAATAAATAGGTTATGTGAGCAAGTAAATTGGGAGGCTATTGTAATCCAGAGAAAAAAGGTAGTGACTTAGGTGAGAATGCTGTTAGTATGAGTGGTATTAGTGGTGAGAAGTCATTAGGCCATGGATGTATTTCATAGGATTGGCCAAGAGAACTGCAGCTAAATTGGAGTGTAGGGAGTGAAATGGAGAACTCAAAGATGACTCTCAGCACTGGGAGGTGACAGCTGTCACTGAAGCATGCTGATGCCTCTTATTAAGAGAGTTACTTGGGAATGGCAAGATCAAAACTTCTCACTTTCAAATTTATGAAAAATATTGTTTTCAGAACGAATGACTTTGGGATCAGAAAGCCATCATTCTAATTGATGGTTCCATGACTACACAGGCTCACACTCCCAAGAGCAAAAGTAAATCATCACAAAGGTGCTTCCTGATAATTCTAGAGAATGGAGAATTACTGTAACATCTTTCTGATTTTAGGAGAGGTAGCAGTTCCCTTTTTAGCCTAAACGCTATTTTTTTTTTAAAGCTCAGCCAAGAGACTCCATTATAATTTTCAAATGTGTAACTTAAATTCTCATATTAAATACCACTATGCTTAAATTAGTCAAAACATTTTCCCCATCTACAACTCTATCTTTTCATTGCAATCATTTTCACAAAAGTGACCGCAGCTAACAGACTCTAAAAGGGGAAAATCTAGGGTAGGTTATCTGATCTAGTTAGTTTTGAAGACAGGATCTAGAGATTATTTAATATGAAATAGGTCACCTGAAATGAAGTGTTTAGTGAAAATATCTTGGATCAGCCCAGTTTTCTACCACTGAACCATGCATTTTGTTTAAAAAACACAACAACTCTGGGGAATATTGGCTGCTTCCAACTGTGTTGAAGATGTTAAAGAAAAGAGCATAAAATTATAAATGATCATCTGAGGCCTTTATAGTCTCTGCTCAAGAGACTAGAGTCTTCCATTCTTAATGAAACACCCAAATATCTTAATAATTGGGCAAAATCTAAATATCAGAGAGATAATTTTATCTTGAAGATTGTTAAATTATAATGGTGATTCACTACCTTGCCACGTCTCTGAGTCAAAAATTAGATCTTTGTTTAGGAATCAATGGTACTCTGCAACTTGGAAATGGGAAGATTTTAGAAGACTCAAACTTTGACTTTCTTGTGTGCAAAAAAAAAAAGACGTGTTGACATACGACAAGTCTTTCCTTGCAAGGATATCTCTAATGCTCATACACCACCTCTCCTAACGTTAATATAGCTTCCAGGTCACTAACCAGTGTCAGAGAGCAGCCTATGCAACTACAAATTCAAAAGATGTCGAACACAGGGTCAAGCCTAGAATAAGAAGTCTTAGCTAATTAAGTATGCTTTTTTCCCCAAATTCATATTAACAAAAACTTGGATATGTCAGAGAATGCATTCTAAGTTCACTCAATCTAGGAGGGAGAAACATAATTTTAAATTAAGAGCTGAAGCATTCTTGTCCTAACAAAAAGCAAGGAAAACAAAATATCACACCACAGGAGGGATTTCACAAATTAGTGTCAACATCAAAATCTTAAAATAGCAAGGAAAATGCAGATTCACAATTAACTCTTCTACTTGTTTTGTTCAGAGAAGAGATGGTTCTGAGAGAATGACAGTGAATTAACCCCAGCTGGTTTAGTTGGTGCTTTCAATTGCTGCTTCTGATAAACTCCTTTAGCTAGAATAAATTGATGAGGATTTTGGCATGTGGTATTAGAGATGGTTAATTTTTTCCTCTTATTTGCATTGTTCAATGTAGTAAATACTAGCTGTATATGGCTACTTTAATTCAAATTAATTACAATGAAATATACTTAAATATTGAATTTTTTAGTCACTGTTGGTTCATTATTGAATATCTTCAGCTAAGATTTCCCATCTAAATACATTAAGAGGTGGCTTAATTAACTGGTCATTCACAAATATTGACGCTGATGTTAACTCCTGATATATTCTCTGCAAATAGAATATTCATGAGCCTCCTCCTGAAACCAGCAGCCTAGAGATAATTTTATAAATTGGATACAAGTTGGAAATCTATAAGTTTTTGAAATATTAGCTTCCCAGGGAAGAAAATCAAATTCATAACATGTTAGCACAATTTAACTCAAGATGTTCAAAACTGAAATGACATATTCTACAATATGTGATAAAACCACCCGCTAACAACTTAAAGCAAAACACGGATTGACCTTAAAGACCTGCCTTTTCCTCATCCCCCAGCCAATCAGTTTTCAAACCTTGCATTTTATTTTGAAAGGTCCTTATACCCCTAGTCTCTTGTTTCTAGACTTGGCACATATTTAACTTTGTTACCTCTATCTACTGACTTTCCTCTCTTCAAACAGTATCTATGCCTGCCAAATGTGAACATACAAAAAACAAATCAGAATGTGCCATTCTGATTTAAACTGCTTATTAGTTAATACCCTCAAGATAACATCTGGGTTCTTAGCTGCACTGAGTCAAGCCTACTTACATCTTTTTTTTTTTTGTCTTCAGCTTCACTGTTCCTATCACATCACACCCCAGCAATGCCAAGCTGTGCGGGCCTTCTACCCCATTTCCACTATTTTGCCCCCGCCGCCGCGGCTTTTTGCTCCCCGCCGCCGCGGCTTTTTGCTCCACGCCGCCGCGGCTTATCGCCCGCGCCTCCGCGGCTTTTTGCAGCTTTTTACCCCCGCTGCCGCTGCTTTTTGCGGCTTTTTGTCAGCGCCACCGCTGCTTTTTGCCCCCGCCGCCCCGGCTTTTTGCCCCCGCCGCCGCGGCTTTTTGCTCCCAGCCGTCACGGCTTTTTGCCGCCGCGGCTTTTTGCGTCTTTTCGCCCCCTACTCTGCGGCTTTTTGCCGCCGCGACTTTTTCCACGGCCGCCGCGGCTTCTTCCCCCGCCGCCGCTCCTTTTTGCCCCCGCCGCCGCACCTTTTTCCCGCCGCGGCTTTTTGCCCCCGCCGCCCAGGATTTTTGTCCCCGCCGCCGCGGCTCTGAGGGCGGGAGCGGCAGACTCGGCTGCCAGCTCTACTGGCGTCCTGGCAAGGGCCCCTGGTCCAGCTCTCCTGGCTCAGGGGTTCCTTGCCTAGGCGCCTGCGCCCCGGGCTCCCTGCCTAGGCCGCTGTGGCCTGCATAGAGTGGCGCTGCGCGCGGAGGCGATGGGAGAGAAGAAGGAGGGCGGTGGTGGGGGTGATGCGGGAGCTGCGGAGGGTGGCTCAGGGGTCGCTCCCAGCCGGGTGCTGCAGCAGTGCGGGCAGCTCCAGAAGCTCATTGTCATCTTCATTGGCAGCCTGTGCGGGCTGTGCACCAAGTGCGCTGTGTCCAATGACCTCACCCAGCAGGAGATACGGACCCTGGAGGTAAGGGGTTCGGGGACCCAGGCTGGGCTCCAGGAGTGGCCTGGACACCTCCCTCAGGGCCCCAGTTCACTCCTGGCTGAGTTGCATCCTTGAGCCCGCGTCACCCCCTTGGAGGCTTCCCCTCCCTCCTGCACTCGCTGATGCAGCAGCCAGAGGACCCAGGACCAGCCCTCACCTTGGGCAGGATTTGTGGGGCGGGTGCGTGGTGGGAACTGGGATGGAGGCTCCAGGGTCCCGTGGGGGCGGGGGTGGGCTGCGCGCGGATATCCCCTTACCCCCTGAATTTCCATCTGATCCAGCCCTCTCATCTTGTAAGGTGAGGAAACTGAAGGCCTGAGGGAGAACTGACTTGCCAGGAACCCCTGTTAAGGAGAATTAACAAAGTGTGGTTATTAAAGAAGAACTGAGTTGGGAGTCAGACCTGGAGGCCCGCACCCTTGGTTAAGACATTATACCACCGTGAGTATGGCCTGTTGACTGAGGGTGAGCCACTCCATCCTCGTCTGATTGTGGGGTCTTGACCTCAAGGGGTTCCCTGCAGGAAGAAGCAAATGGGTTTGCTTTCCTAGCTCTGTCCAGTACCTTAGGGACCCTGAGGACTGAAGAGATTCTTGGAGAGCCATCTGGTGTATGTCATGGGTGGGCCTTTTTTGAAGGTCAGTCTGCCCAGTGGGCTGGCTCAGCCCAAATGAACTGTCTTGAATCTTTGCAGTTGTCTGTGTACTTTTAAGGGCTTCTCAGCCTTGCACCAAAAGATCCCCCTGGAAATTAGGTGGGAAAAACCTTAATTTTTGTGGGGCCTTGTGTTTGTCTTAAAAGTTCATGCACATGGCCAGGTGTGGTGGCTCCCACCTGTTATCCTATCCTGGATCCCTTGAGTCAAGGAGTTTGAGACCAACCTGGACAATATAGTGAGACCCCATCTCTACAAAAAATAAAATATTAGCCAGGGGTGGTTGTGCGCATCTGTAGTCCCAGCTACTACTGTGGCTGAGGTGGGAGGAGCACTTGAGCCTGCACTGAGCTGTGTGATCTCACCAGTGTACTCCAGCCTGGGCCACAGAGCAAGACCTTGACTCAAAAAAAAAACCAACAAGAAAAATTCTTGAAGATTTTGCATTCTGTCCCACTATCCATTGGTTTTCATGTCAAGATAATGTCAGAAATTCTTTACAGTTGCTTCCAGAAGGAGTAGCCTTTTGATCTAGTGCACAGGTGTCCAGTCTTTTGGCTTCTCAGGGCCACATTGGAAGAAGAATGCTCCTGGCCTACACATAAAATACACTAATGCTAACAACAGCTGATGAGCTTAAAAAAAAAAAAAAGTTTGTGCATAATTTTCATGATACCCACCACCACAGATAGGCGGAAAAGTCCTTGTAGTCAAAGGGTTGGACACGGCTGATCTAGTGTCTTGTCATCCGTTTTGGCTTTCTCCCTGATTCCAGAATGCAGGTAGAGATGTAAAGACATGCTCTCAGGACAGCTGTTGAGATAAAAAAATTCGTTGTCATTTATTCCCAAGCACAGCTGTTTCTCATTGCATTGAAAAAGTCTCCATTCAAACTGCTGTCACATATAAAATCTATTTATATAAGTCTGTATTTTTCTGTTGTCTTGGCCTTTGTGGGCAGTAGTGTGTTTTAACTGAGCAAACTGTCCTTCCAGATAATGAAGCCGAAGTCAGCCTACCTGCTTGCCATTTTTCTTCCCCTTCCATTTTTCTAACCTCAGAATAATTGTAAGAATGAATTAAGATTTGTGTTTAAGGCCAGGCACAGTGTATCAGGCCTGTAATCTCAGCACTTTGGGAGGTGGAGACGGATGTATCCCTTGAGCTCAGGAGTTGAAGACCAGCCTGGGCAACATACTGAGACTCCGTCTTGTATAATTGAATTAAAATTTAACAAAAGAAGAGTAAAAGACCTGTGCTTAAAATTTAAAAAAAGGGGGGAAAGTGTAATGCAAAATGTGGACTATGCCAGCTATGACTGGGAAAACTAATTTTTCATACAGCATTATCTGTAGACTTGTATTAGCAGCATACTGGTCATAAGTGTTTTGCTTTCCTCAAATATGATGAGGTAAGCTACTTTAAAGTGTGCTGGGGCTTTCTGCCACGTGGCTCCTGGAGGTGTTGAGTCCCAATTTAGCCAATTACTTTGGGTTTAGTTTTGATATGGATAAGGGAGACCAGCTTCATTCATGGTGCACACACAGTTTTGCCAATAAAGAAAAAAAAAAAAGCCACCCGAATGTTCCTACTCATTAGATGCTATCTGGAGAGCTCCTACCCACCCCCACCAAGGCCCGAGCCATTAAAAAGACTCAATGCAGCCTTTCTGTATCTCATACTGTATTCTGCAAGATACTTCTGTGAAAGAAAGTTGTGCTGCATCAGCCATCTCCCTCCTGAAGATCCCTGCGGATGAGGATTTGTGTTTTAAATGTTCTGAGAATTCCTGTAACAACAGTTCTCAAACTTATTTGTCCAGGGGATCTTTTCTTCCACTGAACGTAGTTGGGGAGACACGGCCTTAAGCCTTGAGCAGAGAAAGAGGCAAGAAACTTGGCTCACTTACAACCAAGTGTTGTGTTTATGTTTTAGGTTTTTATGAAACTGAGGTGCTGTTTGAGGTTCTAAATGAAATTGGGTGGTTGAAGAGAGGCTGGTATCCCTGTAGACTTAGCCAGCCATGAGAGGTTGCCTTTTGTTGAAGGAGGTGTTTTACAAAGGGAAATAGGGTGTCTCCTGGGCACCGCATTAGCACTTAAATACATGTATCACTGAAATGAAATGAAATGAAATGATGAAGTGAATGAAATGATGAAATGAAGAAATGAAATGATGAAATGAAATGAGATGAAATGATGAAATGATGAGATGAAATGATGAAAGGATGAAATGAAATGAAATGATGAAATGATGACATGAAATGGTGAAATGAAATGAAATAATGAAATGATGAAGTGAAATGATGAAATGAAATGATGAAATGAAAAGATGAAATGATGAATTAAGGAAATGATATGAAATGATGAAATGAAATGATGAAATGAAGTGAAATGATGAAATTATGAAATAATGAAATGAAATGATGAAGTGATGAAATGATGAAATGAAATGAGATGAAAAGGTGAAATGAAACGAAATGATTAAATGAAATGAGGAGATGAAAAGATGAAATGATGAAATGAAATGATGAGATGAAATGATGAAATGGTGAGATGAAGTGAAATGATGAGATGAAATGAAATGAAATAATGCAATGAAAGATGAAATGATGAGATGAAGTGAAATGAAGAAATGTAATGAAATGATGAAATGGAATGATGAAATGGTGAAATGAAATGAGGGAATGAAATGAAATGATGAAATGAAATGATGAAGTGAAATGATGAAATGAAATGAAAAGATCAAATGGTGAAATGAAGAAATGATATGAAATGATGAAATGATAAAAAGTGAAATGATTAAATGATGAAATAATGAAATGAAATGACGAAATGATGAATTGATGAAATGATCAAATGAAATGAAATGAGATGAAAAGATGAAATGAAATGATATGACGAGATGAAAAGATGAAATGATATGAAATGAAATCATGAGATGATGAAATGATGAGATGAAGTGAAATGATGAAATGATGAAATGACGAAATGCAATGATGAGAAGAAATGATGAAATGAAATAATGAAATGAAAGGATGAAATGATGAGATGAAATGATGAAAGGATGAAATGAAATGAAATGATGAAATGAAGAAATGAAATGAAATGAAGTGAAATGATGATGGAATGAAAAGATGAAATGATGAAATGATATGAAATGATGAAATGAAATGATGAAATGAAGTCAAATGATGAAATGATGAAATGAAATGATGAAATGATGAAATAAATGAAATGAAATGAAATGAAATAAGATGAAAAGATGAAATGATGAGATGAAAAGATGAAATGAAATGAGATGAAATCATGAGATGAAATGATGAAATGAGATGAAATGATGAAATGAGATGAAGTGAAATGATGAAATGAAATGTTGAGATGAAGTGATGAAATGAAATGATGAAATGAAATGAAACAATGAAATGAAATGATGAGATGAAATGATGAATTGATGAAATGAAATGAGATGAAAAGATGAAATGAAATGATGAAATGAAATGACGAGATGAAAAGATGAAATGAAATGAGATGAAATGAAATCATGAGATGAAATGATGAAATGAGATGAAGTGAAATGATGAAATGATGAAATGAAATGAAAGAATGAAATGAAATGATGAAATGAGATGAAATGAAATCATGAGATGAAATGATGAAATAATGAGATGAAGTGAAATGATGAAATGAAATGTTGAGATGAAATAATGAAATGAAAGAATGAAATGAAATGAAATGATGAAATAATGAGATGAAATAATGAAAAGATGAAATGAAATGATAAAATGAGGAAATGAAATGATGAAATGAAATGAAATGATGAAATAGATGAACCCAAAATACGTATTCATTTTTTTTCTTGGCATCCTTCTAAGAGTATTTTAGTGAGGTTAATTTCTAAAAATAAATTGCTATTCAATGGCTATACAGTTGACCTTTGCACCCCAGGGGTTTGAACTGTGCAGGTCCACTTAGCAAAACCAACAATTCTACATCCTTCTCCACACCCTGCCCATGAAAAGGATGAGGATGAAGACCTGTTTGATCATCTACTTCCATTTAATAACTAGTAAATATATTTTCCTTATGATTTTCTTTTTCTTTTCACTGACATGTTAAGAATATAGTATATAAGACATATAACATATTAAATATGTGTTTATTTCTGCTTGTGTTATTTGTAAAGCTTACAGTAGGCTATTAGTAGTTAAGTTTTGGGGGAGTCACAGTTACTGTGGATTTTCTACTGTGCAGGGGGGCCAGCACCCCAACCTCCATGTTGCTTAAGGGTCAACTGTACATGTTATTTCCTTTCCTGTAAGAGAAAAATGATGAGAAGATCTTTTCTCCAATAAGTGTATTCAAAATGTAGCAGATTTGAAATGTGTTGGCGCCACCATTTTGCATCTCACTTTGAAAACTTATTATTAAAAATAGTACTAAAGCCTACCTTACTTTTCCAAACTTAGAAAAAATGTTACAAAGAAAAGGGGTGAAACCATGCTAGTTTGCCCTGAAATTTGAAATTATCTTTTAAAAATATATTTTTACATTAATTACTTCCAAAATAGAGATCAGTTGCATACAAATGGCAGGTCACCCTAATCCACCCTATGACAGCACTTAGATTCATGAGGAATTGTGCCATCTAGAAAGGGCAGAGAAGAGGAATAGAGTGCTCTGCGTCTTGAAATATAAACATGCACATAGCCACATGCTTTGATTCTGTTGTCACTGTGTACTTACTGCTAGGAAGAGGGCATGTTTGTGTATTTTTATGCTAATTATTATCCAAGTTGTTAATGATTTAGGCTTTCAGAACCATATAAAGATTTTTTTCTTTTCAGATATAAACTATCTTGCATTGTTCTTCTGATCATATGAGGGATAAATTTGCCTAAATATTCTTCAGACCATAATATTATGTCCATAAAAATGCCAGTAGCAAGAGTAGAATCAACCACAACTGCCTTTGTAATTATTTAAAGCATGTGTGCCTATAAGTAATTGGCATTTTATATAATCAAGAATCTTTGATATAATAATCTCTCAACTATTTGAAACATGGCTCACATGTATTAAATTTTTATGCAAATATATATATAATATCACTATATGAAACTAAATTTTGGAATTTAGAACAGCTTCTTAGAATCCTGACTTAAATGTCTACAGTAATAGTTTTTTGTTTTCTTTTGTTTTGTTTTAATATTTATTATTATAATTTAAGTTTTAGGGTACATGTGCTCAATGTGCAGGTTAGTTACATATGTATACATGTGTCATGCTGGTGTGCTGCATGGTGTGCAGTAACTCGTCATCTAGCAGGTATATCTCCCAATGCTATCCCTCCCCCTCCCCCCACCCCACAACAGTCCCCAGAGTGTGATGTTCCCCTTCCTGTGTCCATGTGATCTCATTGTTCAGTTCCCACCTATGAGTGAGAATATGCGGTGTTCGGTTTTCTGTTATTGCGATAGTTTACTGACAATGATGATTTCCAATTTCATCCATGTCACTACAAAGGACATGAACTCATCATTTTTTATGGCTGCATAGTATTCCATGGTGTATATGTGCCACATTTTCTTAATCCAGTCTATCATTGTTGGACATTTGGGTTGGTTCCAAGTCTTTGCTATTGTGAATAATGTGGCAATAAACATACATGTGCATGTGTCTTTAAAGCAGCATGATTTATAGTCCTTTGGGTATATATCCAGTAATGGGATGGCTGGGTCAAATGGTATTTCCAGTTCTAGATCCCTGAGGAATCGCCACACTGACTTCCACAATGGTTGAACTAGTTTACAGTCCCAACAACAGTGTAAAAGTGTTCCTATTTCTCCACATCCTCTCCAGCACTTGTTGTTTCCAGACTTTTTAATGATCGCCATTCTAACTGGTGTGAGATGGTATCTCATTGTGGTTTTGATTTGCATTTCTCTGATGGCCAGTGATGGTGAGCATTTTTCTCATGTGTTTTTTGGCTGCATAAATGTCTTCTTTTGAGAAGTGTCTGTCCATGTCCTTTGCCCACTTTTTGATGTGGTTGTTTGTTTTTTTCTTGTAAATTTGTTTGAGTTCATTGTAGATTCTGGATATCAGCCCTTTGTCAGATGAGTAGGTTGCGAACATTTTCTCCCATTTTGTAGGTTGCCTGTTCACTCTGATGGTAGTTTCTTTTGCTGTGCAGAAGCTCTTGAGTTTAATTAGATCCCATTTGTCAATTTTGTCTTTTGTTGCCATTGCTTTTGGTGTTTTAGACATGAAGCCCTTGCCCATGCCTATGTCCTGAATGGTAATGCCTAGGTTTTCTTCTAGGGTTTTTATGGTTTTAAGTCTAACGTTTAAGTCTTTAATCCATCTTGAATTGATTTCTGTATAAGGTGTAAGGAAGGGATCCAGTTTCAGCTTTCTACATATGGCTAGCCAGTTTTCCCAGCACCATTCATTAAATAGGGAATCATTTCCCCATTGCTTGTTTTTCTCAGGTTTGTCAAAGATCAGATAGTTGTAGATATGCGGCGTTATTTCTGAGGGCTCTGTTCTTTTCTGTTCCATTAATCTATATCTCTGTTTTGGTAGCAGTACCATGCTGTTTTGATTACTGTAGCCTTGTAGTATAGTTTGAAGTCAGGTAGTGTGATGCCTCCAGCATTGTTCTTTTGGCTTAGGATTGACTTGGTGATGCGGGCTCTTTTTTGGTTCCACATGAACTTTAAAGTAGTTTTTTCCAATTCTGTGAAGAAAGTCATTGGTAGCTTGATGGGGATGGCATTGAATCTCTAAATTAGCTTGGGTAGTATGGCCATTTTCACGATATTGATTCTTCCTACCCATGAGCATGGAATGTTCTTCCATTTGTTTGTATCCTCTTTTATTTCCTTGAGCAGTGGTTTGTAGTTCTCCTTGAAGAGGTCCTTCACATCCCTTGTAAGTTGGATTCCTAGGTATTTTATTCTCTTTGAAGCAATTGTGAATGGGCGTTCACTCATGATTTGGCTCTCTGTTTGTCTGTTGTTGGTATATAAGAATGCTTGTGATTTTTGTACATTAATTTTTGTATCCTGAGACTTTGCTGAAGTTGCTTATCAGCTTAAGGAGATTTTGGGCTGAGACAATGGGGTTTTCTAGATATACAATCATGTCATCTGCAAACAGGGACAATTTGACTTCCTCTTTTCCTTATTGAATACCCTTTATTTCCTTCTCCTTCCTAATTGCCCTGGCCAGAACTTCCAACACTATGTTGAATAGGAGTGGTGAGAGAGGGCATCCCTGTCTTGTGCCAGTTTTCAAAGGGAATGCTTCCAGTTTTTGCCCATTCAGTATGATATTGGCTGTGGGTTTGTCATAGATAGCTCTTATTATTTTGAAATACGTCCCATCAATACCTAATTTATTGAGAGTTTTTAGCATGAAGGGTTGTTGAATTTTGTCAAAGGCTTTTTCTGCATCTATTGAGATAATCATGTGGTTTTTGTCCTTGGTTCTGTTTATATGCTGTATTACATTTATTAATTTGCGTATATTGAACCAGCCTTGCATCCCAGGGATGAAGCCCACTTGATCATGGTGGATAAGCTTTTTGATGTGCTGCTGGATTCGTTTTGCCAGTATTTTATTGAGGATTTTTGCATCAATGTTCATCAAGGGTATTGGTCTAAAATTCTCTTTTTTTTGTTGTGTCTCTGCCTGGCTTTGGTATCAGGATGATGCTGGCCTCATAAAATGAGTTAGGGAGGATTCTCTCTTTTTCCATTGATTGGAGTAGTTTCAGAAGGAATGGTACCAGTTCCTCCTTGTACCTCTGGTGGAATTCAGCTGTGAATCCATCTGGTCCTGGACTCTTTTTGGTTGGTAAGCTATTGATTATTGCCACAATTTCAGATCCTGTTACTGGTCTATTCAGAGATTCAACTTCTTCCTGGTTCAGTCTTGGGAGAGTGTACATGTTGAGGAATTTATCAATTTCTTCTAGATTTTCTAATTTATTGGCGTAGAGGTGTTTGTAGTATTCTCTGATGGTAGTTTGTGTTTCTGTGGGATCAGTGGTGATATACCTTTATCATTTTTTATTGCGTCTCTTTGATTCTTCTCTCTCATTTTCTTTATTAGTCTTGCTAGCGGTCTATCAATTTTGTTGATCCTTTCAAAAACCCAGCTCCTGGATTCATTAATTTTTTGAAGGGCTTTTTGTGTCTCTATTTCCTTCAGTTCTGCTCTGATTTTAGTTATTTCTTGCCTTCTGCTTGCTTTTGAATGTGTTTGCTCTTGCTTTTCTAGTTCTTTTAATTGTGATGTTAGGGTGTCAATTTTAGATCTTTCCTGCTTCCTCTTGTGGGCATTTAGTGCTATAAATTTCCCTCTACACACTGCTTTGTATGTGTCCCACTACGTCTGATTGGTCTACCTGAAAGTGACGGGGAGAATGGAACCAAGTTGGAAAACACTCTGCAGGATATTATCCAGGAGAACCTCCCCAGTCTAGCAAGTCAGGCCAACATTCAGATTTAGGAAATACAGAGAATGCCACAAAGATACTCCTCGAGAAGAGCAACTCCAACACACGTAATTGCAAGATTCACCAAAGTTGAAATGAAGGAAAAAATGTTAAGGGCAGCCAGAGAGAAAGGTCAGGTTACCCTCAAAGGGAAGCCCATCAGACTAACAGCGGATCTTTTGGCAGAAACTGTATAAGCCAGAAGAGAGTGGGGGCCAATATTCAACATTCTCAAAGAAACCAATTTTCAACCCAGAATTTCATATCCAGCCAAACTAAGCTTCATAAGTGAAGGAGAAATAAAATACTTTACAGACAAGCAAATGCTGAGAGATTTTGTCACCACCAGGCCTGCCCTAAAAGAGCTCCTGAAGGAAGCACTAAACATGGAAAGGAACAACCAGTACCAGCCGCTGCAAAATCATGCCAAAATGTAAAGACCATCGTGACTAGGAATAAACTGCATTAACTAACAAGCAAAATAACCAGCTAACATCGTAATGACAGCATCAAATTCACACATAACCATATTAACTTTAAATTTAAATGGACTGAATGCTCCAATTAAAAGACACAGACTGGCAAATTGGATAAAGAGTCAAGACCCATCAGTGTGCTGTATTCAGGAAACCCATCTCATGTGCAGAGACACATATAGGCTCAAAATAAAAGGATGGAGGAAGATCTACCAAGCAAGTGGAAAACAAAAAAAGGCAGGGGTTCCAATCCTAGTCTCTGATAAAACAGACTTTAAACCAACAAAGATCAAAAGAGACAAAGAAGGCCATTACATAATGGTAAAGGGATCAATTCAACAAGAAGAGCTAACTATCCTAAATATATATGCACCCAATACAGGAGCACCCAGATTCATAAAGCAAGTCCTGAGTGACCTGCAAAGAGACTTAGACTCCCAGACAATAATAGTGGGAGACTTTAACACCCCACTGTCAACATTAGACAGATCAGTGAGTCAGAAAATCAACAAAGATACCCAGGAATTGAACTCAGCTCTTCACCAAGCGGACCTAATAGACATCTACAGAACTCTCCACCCCAAATCAACAGAATATACATTTTTTTTCAGCACCACACCACACCTATTCCAAAATTGACCACATAGTTGGAAGTAAAGCTCTCCTCAGCAAATGTGAAAGAACAGAAATTATAACAAACTATCTCTCAGACCACAGTGCAATCAAACTAGAACTCAGGATTAAGAATCTCACTCAAAACCGCTCAACTACATGGAAACTGAACAACCTGCTCCTGAATGACTACTGGGTACATAACGAAATGAAGGCAGAAATAAAGACGTTCTTTGAAACCAACGAGAACAAAGTAATAGTTGACTTAAAAAATTTTAGCACACTGTCACTATGATGAAAAAAAAAATACTATAAAATTATTTAAAAAATTTTTCCACCTTAACATTTAGAATATTCTCACATTTGTGGTTAAAAACTATTGTGATTGTTCTTAGAATTTAGATAAAAAATATTCCAGAAAGTTTGAAGAGAAGCACTTTAGTCAATTTTTAGTTGTTGAAGCATGAAGAAATGGCATTTCATTGACATTTTAAAAATATTCAGATTCTCTCTTTGAATTCAAGTGTTTCAAAGATATCTTATTTTAAAACACCAAAATAGGAATAGAATATGAAGGGCTGGTTATGAGTAATATGACACACATTTATGAGAAGATGAGATTACAATAACAATACCTCCTCTCATAGAATAGCCAGCAAGTCTCCACTAAATAACAGTGCCTTGATTTTATAGATGCTTAATAATGGATATTGAGTTAATATGAACCATTTGTAGACACAGGAGTTTATTAAAGCATTATATAATATCTTTCAAATATTTAGAATAGTGTTGAAATTAAGCCTGCATCCCCACGATTTTCAGAGGTGCTGATGCCTAATAAACTCAACCCCTTGCATGCCAAAATTGGCTTAAAGCCCACCTGTTACCCAAGCTACACTTCAGGCATCAAGGTTCAAAAATGTGATTTTAAATATGCAAGAGTTTGAGGAATTCACTACTCACACTTTCTTGAACAGTCTATCCAAGTGCATCAAGCAAAATATGAGTAAAGAAATTTTGACCAAAGGATTGATAGTAATGTTGAATACATTTAATTGTAGATCTAAGATTAAAAGGTGAGAGTGAGGGTGAGAAGAGTGTATGAATGCTTTGTATTCTGACAAAGAGAATGTAGCACCCATGTCCTACCTGCTTGGTTGCATTGCCAGTGCCCACGGTAGGCCATTTTATCCAGGTTATTAGGTTTTGTTTTGTTTTCTTCTTTTCAGGAGAGTTAGTCCAAGACCAATAACTACATAACTGGTAGAATTGGAAGACTTTAATAGTGCTTAACATTTTGTACTTAGCTTTATAATGGTTTTCTTTTTCTTTTTTTCTGAGAGATTCTTTTCAATATACCCCATCATGGTTCAACTCAAAAGTCATTGCTTATTTAAAATCTACAACTGCTGACGTTTTGTAACCTTCGCATTCCAGGTAATTGGTTTTTTGTGCATTTTCTGTATTTTTCTCCATCAGTCTACCTAGATATTTGTTAGATTTAATATTTTAGTGGTTTTCTGAAAAAGTGAGCTTTGCATTTTTAAATATATACTCAGTTGCTTTAATTCTGCTTTTTATGTACTATTTCCTCGTTTGTTTGTTTTTTTTTTTTTTTTTTTTTTGACACGGAGTCTTGCTCTGTTGCCCAAGCTGGAGTGCAGTCGCGTGATCTCTACTCACTGCAACCTCCACCCCCCACATTCAAGCAATTCTCCCACCTCAGCCTCCTGAGTAGCTGGGATTACAGGTGCATACCACCATGCCAGGCTAATTTTTGTATATTTAGTAGAGAGTGGGTTTCACCATGTTGGACCAGGCTGGTCTCAAACTCCTGACCTCAGGTGATCCACCTGCCTCGGCCTCCCAAAGTGCTGGGATTACAGGCATGAACCATGGTGCCTGGCTATCTCCTTCATTCTTTATGTTTATTTTACTGGTTTTATCTCTCTCTCTCTCTCACTGTTTCCTTCTCACATTCACTTTGCAGTTATCAAATAGCCCAGGTGATGTTACAGATTTACTCCTTATAAAAGGAGGCATTATGCATTACACATGCATCTTAGTGGCCTTACAAAAGTGTTTGGTTCATTTGTATTGACTATTCACCTTTAAAATATTTCAATATTCATTAAAGTAGCTTCCAACCAGTATTATTAGACTTATGTTTCTAGCTTTCTTTTTTGTATTGATATCTACCTTCATTGCTGTTTGTTTATGAAATATATTCTGTGTCACCTTATTTCCGTGAAAATTGTTTGAATTTGTGATATGGTCTAGAAAATGTTAATTTTTGTAAGTATTCTGTATGAACATGAAAATAACATGAATTATAATATTCATGTTCCTTATATAATATTTGCCCTTTTTAAAATCCACTAGCTTCTTTTAAAACTTACTCTTTTAATTTTTTCTTTTATCTATTACTGAAAGATATGTGTTTGAAATGTCTATAATGATTTGGGGGCTTATCCATTTCTACTTACTTTCTGATATTTTTGCTTTATATAATTTGACTCTCTCTCTAAATATGTGTGTGTGTGAGAGAGAGAGTGTGTGGTGTGTGTGTATATATGTATATATGTATCAGGCTAATGCACACTTAAGTCATCACATCTTAATAACTTAAAACTTTTATCACACTGGTTAGACTAACTTATTTTAATAAATGTTTCTAACTTACATTCTATTTTGTCTACATAGCAACTTTTTAAAAAATTATATTCATGTATATTTGTATGTATATCATATATACACAGTATCTGTATTGTTTGAACTTCAAAGTTTCTGTAAATTTATATATTAGTTGCCTCTCGTAACTATGATAGAGACGGATTTTTTTAATTTGCCAATCTTTGTATTTTAACAAAAACATTCTCTACTTAGGTTTAAGTTAATCTTTGATCATTTATACTTAATTTGTTTTATTAATTTGTTGTATATATATATATATACATATATATATATCATGTCTCATTTTCTCCTATCAGTTTCTGTCTTCTTGTTTTTAATTTATGACTTTTATTTTTACCGTTTTCATAGATACAACAGAGAAATGCATAATGTCCAGTCAATTT
Source organism: Homo sapiens (assembly GCF_000001405.40). NCBI lineage: Eukaryota > Metazoa > Chordata > Mammalia > Primates > Hominidae > Homo > Homo sapiens. Next base: position 15,184,201 of record NC_000018.10, on the reverse strand, counting down.
ATTAAAGTTCCAAAGTCGGTCGCGCGCAGTGGCTCACGCCTGTAATCTCAACACTTCGGGAGGCCGAGGCGTGTGGATCACGAGGTCAGGAGTTGGAGACTAGCCTGACCAACATGGTGAAACCCCGTCTCTACTAAAAATACAAAAATTAGCCCAGGCATGGTGGCACGCGGCTGTGATCCCCGCTACTCAGGCGGCTGAGGCAGGAGAATTGCTTGAACCTGGGAGGCAGAGGTTGCAGTGAGCAGAGATGGCGCCACCGCACTCCAGCCTGGGAGAAAGAGTGAGTGAGACTCCTTCTCAAAAAAAAAAAAAAAAAAAAGAGTTGCAAAGTCATACTCACCTTTCAGCTCTTGTCGGACAATTAAGGGGTCTTTGCATACTTCAGCCCTAATAATTTGCTTCCTAACATACATATTGCAGTGGTTATCTAATTTTAAATATCTTTTTGTTTCAACACCTAATTTTTTATTTAGATCTATCTGTATGTTTACAGTATATTTTGCTCTATGTTCATTCTTTGATTTCAGAACTTCAACCTTTCTGAAGCATGTTTTCAGGGTTTCTTTTTAGTTTCTTTGGTGGAATTCTGCTGGTGGTATTTTGTTTTTTGTCTCTAAATATGTTATTTAGCCATAGGTTGATGAATATTTTTCTTGGTTGAGAATTTCAGAATGGCATTATTATTCTTAACAAATAATATTGTTTATTTTACTTTTCATTCTTTCAGATTTCAATATGATTAAAGGTAATTTGATTTTTCTAGTGCTAATTGAAATATTTTTCCCTTCCTGATTCTTTATTATTTCTCTAGGAGATACGTAGATGTAGGTTTATCTCCATTATAGCTTGCTTAGCATGCATGGAATTTTTGAATATGCGGATTAGTGTCTTACAAAAGTCTAGAGAACTTTCAGCCAAAATACCATCACATATTGTCCCTTCCCAGTTCCCTTCTTCTATGAGAACACTCACTAAACACATGCTGCACTTTCTCACTGTATATTCCATGTCTCTTCATGATTCTGTCCACATTGTGCATTTTTTAAAAATTTTCTGTAATGCACTCTGAAATATTTATGAACTCTCACCATGGCCATGTCTAATCTGATGAGTTCATTTTTGAGTTTTTAATTTAAAATACTATGTTTTTATACAAACTACTTTTCAAATTTGCTACATCAATTTTTTAGTCTCCTAAAAATATATTCATTTTTTTTAAAATTTTTTGAAAGCAAATGTACTTTATAATCTAACAGTGATATTTCTACTAATGAACCTTTGTGGATCTGTTTGTACTCTTTTTCTGCTTTCCTTTCAAATGGTGGAATATCATTTCCTTGTGTACTTAGATGCCTTTGAATGACAAATATTTATTTTTCTCTGAAAATTATTATGGTGCACTTTTGTGTATTAGTAAGAAGAAAATTTGCCAAAGAGAATTTGAATTTTTTTGTGAGTCTACTAAAGGCACCACCATTCTGGGACCACATTGTATTAATTCTTGGCCTAAAGGTGTTTGGACATGTTTGGACTGCACAGTTAAACAATTTTTAAATTAATTGCTGTAAATCATTAATGATTGAGTTTCTTTAAATCTGTCCAATCTCAAGCCATTTTTATTTGCCATTTCCAGGGAATGTGAAATGGGACTAATTTACCTCTGATTCTTCTTTATACTGAGGATATAAATTTTGGTCCTAGCTTTAGGGTAGAGCTCCTGTGTGATGCTCTATCTTGGAAAAACCTATGTATTTCTTTACTGTCCTATGTGATGTATGACAGTAGGAATCTGCACTCATTCATTTTGCTACATGTCCGTAGGGCAAAATTGGTTTCGGTGTTTAGGTATATTTTGTCTGCTCCCTGCATTCCCATGGTTTTGACCTTATATTTTACTTTTTTTGTGTGAACATACCAATGCTTCAATTTTTTTCCAGTAATATAATCAACTATACTATAAGAAAGAGAAAACTTTTGATAAAACACAAATTTCATGTTTTCCTACTCTAATTGGCTTTTACATAAAAATACAGGTAAAATTTATTTGTACTTTTTTGCTATTTCTGTTTTGCTATTCTCTGTTTGTCTATGTCTTCTCCACATAGACACAATTAGGGAATTTTGTACACTCTTGTGCCAACTGCTTTGATAGTAACAAAATGTATTTCTCAAACTCCTAGCTATAAAACTCAAGTATCCACAATTTAAATTCTTTTCCCCTCACTTCTATTATGTTTCCAGTCTCAATAGAAATCGATGCCAATCCAGAAATACAAGCATTATTCTAATACTTCTCATGCATTAGAGATATAGATTAAATTTTCTAGATCTCCTTAAATACTATCATTTTTCACTACTTGTATCTTAACTGTTAAGTTCAACATTTTCTATAATATTAATATGTTGTGAAAATTTCCTTACTTTCTTATTTGTCCCAGGTTCAATGTTTTGCAGTCTCTACCTCACCCTGTGAAGCATAAACATTGTACATGCTGTACAAATATTACATAGTTCATGTGTTTAGAGATTGCACAATTTTTATTTGGTTGACAATAGCTAATGTTTTCTTCTTCATTTTCTATTTCCTGATTTTTCTTTATTTAGTATATACTACATTATCATAAAAATAATAATGTTTTACAAACTAAAGCAAAAGCAACCCTAGGAATAAAATGCACAAATAAAATATATAAACATACATTTAGATGTACCATGTACCATTGTAATTTATTTAGACATTTAATTTTAGTACAATTTTAATTAAAGTGTGTATTATCTATCATCGTCTTAGTATTTTTTATATAACAAATTTTGTAAATCAAAAAGTCTCAATGTCATTATAAACTATCTTGGCAGAGGTTGATCTCCAAGGAATAATTTCTCTCCCAAATTATGCCAATCAGAATTTCACTCTACCATAATTCTTTTAATCAGTTTCAGAGGAATAATAAATTTCAAAATTGATCAAGGTACTTCTTGTAGTTCAAGTACCTTTTGACAGGTGTAAAACTGTAGACAGACTGATACATACATATTCTAATTGACTCAAAAGTATATGGGACCTATTTTAAAATCTAGATTTTAAAATGTCTTGTCAACATACACATGTTCTCCTTGTGAAATAATTGCTTTTTATTCTCTGGATAGAATAATTTAATCTTTAAACCTTCAAATCACTGTTAAAAACAAAATATTACATAAGGATATGCTTATACAAATAATTCCCAACTAGCTTTTCAATTCAGAAATATATGTGAAAAATCATCAAGCATCTAATGGATTTCAAGGAGAAATGGGTTAGTAATTTATTCCCTATATCTCAATTTTTCCTAGACTCAAGACTTCCTTTAAAATAATTGTAGGCATTTAAGAAACCATGTAAACTAAAAAGAAGAAATTATGACACTGCCGCTTAGGTTTTTTAAATTTTTGGACATGAATCAATATATTTTTTGAATTTTATCTTAATTAGACATTGTGAGTTCACCATCTTCCTTTCAGTATAGCATCCGAGCTGATTATCATAGATTACAAGTTCAACTATCAACTGTGTTCTGAGAGTCTAAAAAAATAAATGAATGTATTTGTTTGGGTATTCTTAAAGCAGGAGTGAGGACACAGCAAAAGTGAGACAAGGAAGAGAGAATAAAATAAAACAGGAAAGATAGAAAAGCCAATACCACATGTGTTAAGAGGCAAGTTCCTGTGTTAGATATCTGGGCTTAATTTTATGGGAAGCTATGTGGAACATGCCTCAGAATTACATCACTGAATCCAGGGAGATTCTTCTTAGTTACCCTCACCTCTTCTTCCCACTTCATGCCCAGTAACAAGCTCCCGTGCTGCTAGAGAAAGTCCTCAGCTAGAAACAGGTGCAAATTCTGGAGATGAGACCTTGTAGAGTGTTAAGAATGTTTTTCTTCCCAGCAGCTACAGGTAAGGAATAGGGGCTGGGCTATTAATACATCTGCTACAAATCAATAAAGCCCTTATGCTCCTTTTGGTGATCGACAACGTATTTAAAAATATTACATGATCAAGAAGGGCTGCAGAAAGGAGGAAACAGAAACAAACAGCACACCTCTTGGTTTATATTTATTCATTTCATCAGTTTCAAGGAAAATGTGTTGGGAGTTCCTGGCATAGAGAATGTCACAAAGACATGTTTTCAATAGTAGTGCTATCCCTAGGGCAGAGAAGACCCAGAGAAAGCCCAAGTGGCTGCTGGAACAAAGTCAGACACCGTGCAACCTGTCCACACTCCTTGGCTCTGCCATCATGCTGAAGATCGCTTTAAAGGACTGGCTTCCCTCACCCCAAAATTAAAAGAGCACAGACTGAGAAACTGAATGTAGGAGACAGCAGTGGATTATGCTGTTCTCAGGGGTCACCTCAGGTTTGGAAGCATTCTTTCAAATTAACCCATCTCAGGCCATCTGCAGAGAAGAAAGATGGTACCTAACTTTTTTTCTTGTCAGCATTTGGTAGGGGTGTTTTATTGACCAAATAGTTTTTTGTAACTAACTAAATATAGTAGATTTTTAAATTTTATCATCAAAATCTGTAGACAATTTTTGATTAAAATAGACTCCACATCTATGTTCTGCTTTTCTTCTTATTATTAATTACATTGCTGTATAAAAGAACAAGACTTCAGAATCAAGAATATCTTGTCTCTTGGCATTGAATTTATACAAGGTGCTCTTTCTTTAATGCTGTCTCAATGGACATATTTTTACTCATTAAAAAGGAAGATCGGAATCTAGTTGTATGCACTGCTCCAACATATTAATAATTAAAATTAGGAGGTAAATGTGGTCAAAGCTATAGAAAGACTTGAGATGTCATTTATATTGATTACTGTATAGCATTCTACAAACAGAAATTGTTAAATAATAGTTTATATAAATATTTTGTAGCATTTCAAATATTTGAGTGCCTGAAGTTTCTCCTCTTATATAGTTCAGATTATCAATTTGAAGACTTACTCCACTAGTTAATATGTTTTTAGTCTCGTTTGAGTATTATATAAAAGCAATTTTCAGTTAAATGTGTTCCACTTACATAAAACTTTACAAATTATTGAGGATTTAATTACATATTCATGTTCCTGTAATGTCTTTAGAAGATTTTCTTATTATTACCTATCAATATATGTATGCTTTGTCAAAGAAAAATCAAACATATATATCATTGAAATTGAAATATTTTAAAAGTACTTATTAATTCTATTGAAAAGCCACATCCATAGGAACAATTACAATATAATATTGTGAACATGTAAATATATACCCTATGTCTATTTTATGATAAGTATATATGATTAAAACTATAGTTAAGAATTTTTAAACCTAGTATTATAAAGTAAAAATTAGTTAACTTCTGATGATTATTTGTTAATTAAGATAAAATTATTTTGATTTGGGTGATTTTAAATAAAGAAAAATATTAAATTACATCACAAAAATTCTTTATAAAATGTTTATGATTTTTACATTGGTTTTATCACTTTATTCCACTATTTTATTTTAAGATGACCTGCCTTGTTTAAAACACTGTATTCATCTTAATTAAATTAAATTCCATTTGTAAAAAAATTAACAAATGATTTGCTCTATTGTACAGTGCGTTTATAAACTGAGTCAGTATCTCAAGATTTGATCCCCATTATCGTCATCTGTGGCCCTATTTGTTTTACAAATGTATTGTCTTTTTCCATGCCTGTCACATCTCTATTGCTCTTTCATTTTTCTCTTTGTTCCTTATAGGGAGCATTGCCTATCTCTAGATTAAGCAAAAGTTGCATCTTAAAAAAGCACAATAACCTGCTCAATCTTTCTCACACAGAGAAATGTTTGTTAAGTAATTAAAGTGTAGATGATGCTACAAAGAGCTTGATTAAATTAGATGCCAAAATACCCTTGTGATTCAGAATATGAATGTTATTTAATTTCTTCGAAATCAATAATTGCTGAGTGACATTAATTAATGCCAATATTCCAGAAGTTGTTCTAGTTAATGAAATGTATACAACATGCAAAAGATTCAGAACTCTGAAGGGCAACATTATTCTATAATTAAGATTTAAGAATTCACATTAATTATTGGGGAGAAATAATTATTAAGAATTAATGACTGAGAAAATGTTTTTATTTTTTATTTAGAAAATTATTTTGTGCATGAGCATTACTGCAAGTTTTGCAAGAAACATAAATGTAAAGAAACAATTATGTGCACAAGATGAATTTAATAACATCTTGATATTTTCCACGATTACAGTTTTATTTGGTAAATCTTTAAATGCACATCATCTAAAGATAATAAATGCATCTTGGAAATCTTGTAGGTAAGGGTAAATATTAGGATGCATCCAGTTACATTTACACACACATACAGTTACATTTACACACACATACATACACACACACTGATACACATGTGTGTATATATATATATGAATTTACTAATTGATTTTAACTAATATTTATAAGAGCCAGTTGGATTGATATATATTGTTGAACCTGAAAAATATTTATTTTATACATGTTTAAGATACACAAAGAAATAAATAGTAATTGCACTAGGCATTTGAAACTGTACTAAAATATAAGCTGTGAACACTTTTTGATCATTACAAATTCTTACACTGAATAAATATTTTTATTTTTATAATAATATGTTTGATACATGTGTACATTTTTTACAATGTGTTATTTTATTTTTGTCATAGGGTCATGTCATGCATAATAACATTTCAGTCAAAGATGGATTACATATACAAAAGTGGTCCTATGAGATTATAATACATATTTTTACATACTTTTCTACATTTAAGTATGTTTAGATACATAAACTCTTACCACTGTGTTCTTATTGCCTGCAGTATTCAGTAAAGTAATGTAGTACACAGGTTTGTAGCCTAGGAGAGAGAGGCTATACCATATATTCCAGACGTGGTAGGCTGTACAATCTATGTGTTTGTAATATTCTCTCTGACATTTGCAAAATGAAATTGCCTATGGATGCATCTGTTAGAACATATCCCTATCATTCAGTGATGTGTGACTGTACTAAAATGCTCAATCTAAGTTTCAATGCCCTCCATAAAATTGTTGTACTGTGAAATACAAATCTCTCACCCATGGCCTGAATATGTTTGCAAACTAAGCAGATTATGGGAAGGAGATTGTGCTGGCATCGCTGGGATGATTTTCTCACACTACATGAATAATATCTCCAGACTTCGAGAATATGAGCCACTTGCATAGAGTTAAAGTAGGCATCTCTTTGCTGGGAAATTTATCAAATGGGAATATGAAGTGTTTTTAAAAGATACTTGTTTGTTTGTAGCCGGTAGGCCTACAGTGGCTCATGGCAATGGTTGAGGTTGCTAAGATTTGGTGGAAGGAGGCAAAATGGCCACTTACATGGTATATGGTATATGGATCACTTGTTTCTGTTGAGTTACAGATTCAGCTGTCTATTTCTCCCAATGTTAGCTATTTGGAGAAAAAAAACATGATGGTAATTTTGGGGTAACAAATACAATATTTGATGAAAGCAAATTTATTGAGGGTTAGACAAACTACAAGATACTTTAGGCTGCAAAGTCAACACGAGACTTCTGGCCCAAATTGTGCAGAGTTTGGGTCCAGCTGCAAAGTTCAAAGGAAGAGGCCATATAAGACGATTCTCACTTCTGACACCAACTGCCAGTCCAGGGGTTTCCCCTGAACACCCTCAGTTTCAAGAATTTACTAGAAAGACTCACAGAACTCACTGAATGCCATTGTATTCATGGTTTATAATACAGAAAGGGTAGAAATTAGGACCAATTAAAGGAAGAGACATATCATATAAGGTGGAATCTAGGAGGATTTTGAATGTTAAGTTTCCATTGTCTTCAGGACATATTACCTGTCATTGTTGTACAGCAGTAAACATGGAGTACTACCAACCTGGGGAGCTCACCTGATGCTAAAAAGACACTATTTAGAAAATGAAAAGACAAGTGAAAGGATGAGATAAGATGACCTTCCACATTAAGGCACTGGAAAAAATAGCAAACTAAACCTAAAGCAAGCAGAAGGAAGAAAATAAAAATTAGAGAAATTAATAATTTATAACAATAATATTTGTTAGTATTGAATAATTAATATTAATTCTTGACTAGCTTTTTTAAAAAAGAGAAATATTCACTTCCCAATTTATTCTGTGGGGCCAGTGTTACCTTGATACAAAAATTAGTCCAAATAGCCTAGAAAAATAAAACTACTATAAGTATAAATGCAAAATTCCTTAAAAAATACTAACAAATCAGATCTAGCAACATATAAAAGAATTATACACTATGACAAAGTGAAATTTATACAAGTAATCCCAGGTTGGTTAAACAGCCCAAAATCCATTAAGGTAATGCATCTTATCCATAGAATAAGAAACGAGAATTGCATGATCAACTCGATAGATTCAGAAAAGACATTTAACAAAATCCAAATGCTTTAATGATTAAAAATAAAAATAAAAACTCAAAGAACGAGGATTAGAGAACTTTCTACACCAGATACATGGCACCTGTGAAAAGCCAACAGCAAACATGCAACTTAATGGTAAAAGAAATGATACTTTCCCGCTATGGTCAGAGATAAGAATAGGATATATACTTTGACCTCTTCTAGTCAACACTGTACTAAAGATTTTATGCATGGCAAATCGGCAACTAAAGAAATGAGTCAGCCATATTGAACAGGAAGAAATAAAACTTTATTTGCAAATAACATTCTTGTATATAGAAAATTTTAAGGAATCCACTGAACGACAGAACTAGTAAATTATTTCAGCAATATTACAGCATACAAGATAAATATACAAAAATCAATTGCACACATCTACAATGAAAACCCCAAAATGAAATTAAGAAAACACTTCAATTTACAATAGCATCAAAAAAGAAATAATAATTAATTTGGAAAATGTGATACAATATTTTACTCTGAAAATTAAAAATTATTGTTTAAAGAACATCTAAATAATTAGCAAACATCTTACAGCCATGAATTGGAAGATTTAATATTGTAGTACTTTACAATTTGAACTACAGATTTGATGAAATCCCTACAAGTATCCCAACAGACTTCTGTCTAGAAACTGACAAGCTGATTCTAAAATACACATGGAATCGTAAGGGACTTAAAATAGCCAAAATAACCTTGAAAAAAGAAAACATAATAGGATAATTCACACCCCCGTGCTGCAAACCTTACTGCAAAGCATCAGTAATCAAGACAACACAATACTGATGAAGGAAAAATATATAGATTGATGGAAGAGAATTGAGAGTCCATATATAAAACTATGTATCTATAGTCAATGGATTCTTACAGTGGTGCCATGTGCAATTCAATGAGGAAGAGACAGTCTTGAACAAGCTGGGTCAACAACGTACACATGGATCAGCACTTGCAAAATAATAAATTCGAACCCTTACCCCAAAGCATACAAAAATATTAACTCAAATGAATTAAAGACATACATGCAAGAGCTAGAATAAAGCATATGGGAAAATCTTCAGGATTTTGGATCTAGCAAAGAAATAGCTGTAACACCAAAAACGTGAGCAACAAAATAAAAATTAGATATTTAAAATTTCTTAAAAATTAAAGACATTGATGTTTCAAAGGACAACCAAGCAAGTCAAAAGGTAGCTCAAAAATTGTGAGAAGATATTTGAAAAACACGTGTCTATATGTCTGTATATATATGTATCTTGAATATAGAAAAATTGTTTTAACTCAGTAACAAATATCCCAACTCAAAACTGATAAATGATAGGAATAGATGTGTTTCCCAAGAAGATACACGAACGGTCAATAATCCCATAAAAAGATACTCAATAGCATCACTCATCAGGCAACTACAAATCAAAACCACAGTTAGATACTCTATGGCTAGAACTGGCCACTTTGGAAAATAGTTTGATGGCTTCTAAATATATTAAACATAGAATTGTCATATGACCAAGAAATTTATTCCTAGGTATACACCCAGATTATTGGAAAGAGGTGTTCAAACACAAATTGTACACAAGTATTTTTAGCAGCAGTATTTAAAATAGCCAAAGGCTGAACACAACTCAAATGTCAATAAAAATATTATTGGATAAACAAAATGTTATATCCATGAAATTGAATGTTCTACAGTTATAAAAAGAAATAAAGTACCAATACGTATATGAACCTTGATAGCATTATGCCAACTGAAAGAAGCCAGGCACAAAAGGCCACCTATTGTATGATTCTATTTAGATGAAAATAGAATAGGAAAATCTATAGAGACAGAAAACAGATTTGTGGTTGCTTAGGATTGAGTAGGGGATGGGTGCATAGGAGGTTAACAGCTAAAGAAGGTGGGGTTTCTTTTTGAAGTGATGAAAATGCTCTAATACTCATTGTGATGATGTCTCCACTTATCTGTGCATATACTAAAAGCCACTGACTTGTAGACATTAATGTGTGCACTCTACACTATGTAAATTATATCTCACTAAATCCTTTCAAAAATACACAGAAGAGTAAGGGGTTTGGGAATGTTACAGCTGGGAGGCAGTTTGAAATACTGAATAGGTCTCATCGAGAATGTGAGGTTTCAGTAAAGACTTGAGGAAGTTGAACGAGCTGATCAATGGATATATGGAGGGCTATCTTTCCAAGCCAAGAAATTAACTAGAGTCTTGGTCATAAGACAGCAGCAAACATGCATGTCCAGAGGACAGTGAGGTGGCCAGGACCACTGGTAAGATCAAGGGTGAAGATATAAAAGAATTTTGGTGGTTAACATGCAGCAGATCATGACGGGCTTGCAGACCATTGTAAGAATTGTGGCTTTTAGTGTACATGAAATGGAGAGACAAATCATTATCCCATTACCAATATTTTAATAAATTGGATCCATGAACCAAATCCAATGATATTAAATCAATTAGTAATAATATGCAAATTTGTATTAAAATTACAAGAATTACTTGCACATTTGAGAACAGGAGAGTCATGATTGTTTATCAGCAATAATAAACATTAATTTTAATTGTGATCAGCTAATTGAGATTAATTGCAATACATCATGCTTTATAATGTGACTGTCAAAAGGAAAATATGATTGTAATCTTATACTACATCTATCAATGTCTTTGATTCATAAGACTATGGAGTAAGCCCCTAGTTTTCAAAGCCAACTTATGAGGTAGTGATATCTTATGCAAGTTTGCTGCTTTCTGCCACAGTGGTCCTTGGTCAGCTGGCACAAATTGTTTTACAAATGCCCCTAGGTCTAAAAATAGTTTGGATCACAATGAACACAGAAACACTTTCATCCCTTCAGAAATACCTATCAATTACTTCTAATACAGAATGAAAAATTGACAAAGGAAATATGTGGATTGTAAAAATGCCAGTTAGCTTGCATCTACATGAAAGAAAAATGCCATTTTTATTACATTAGATCATCGTTTTACATGAGTTTTGGTATAGCACAATGTTGAACCAAGGGCAAAGAGAGATGAAATAATGAAGTCTTAAGATATCAAGAATTTGAAAGAAAAGGCAGGTCATCTTTGAAGGTTAGTGACATAGCATTCATCTTCTGTTGTCACCTTTTCCGTCATTCCCTGTATGCCTGATGGACAGCTTTCACTCAGGTTCAGAGAACAGCATGCAAAGATTAGCTACCAATTAATCTTTATGAAGTGAGCTCCATTTCTAGCCAGACTGAGCTTATGTTTTAGCAGAAAGCATTTTTGGGAAATGTTTATGTTAGAGTTTGCCCTTCTTGACAAGGTGAGACATAAATGTCTACTTCATAGACATGAATTAAGATGGGAAGATATTTGGGGGAAACATTTACTTAAACGCTAAATAATAAAGGTACACAAAGGGCAAATTATACTAGATTTCTTTCCCACTTGTTTTCTATGTCTCATGCAATTCACCTTGATTCCCTTCAGTTTCTGTTTAATGTAGAAAGTGGCATTTTCATTATTTTAAGCTTCTAGCACAATGAAAGAATTTCTCTTTTTCATGAACTGGATCATAAATGAAAGGGAGGAAGAGTGTCCTATATCATATTTATTGTTCAACAAAACACTGCTCCACGGCTTAAATTCAGTTTAAAAAAGAGAATTTATTGAACATCTAACACATACATAAAAGGCAGTAAAGACAAATGAGAAGAGGGCAGGATATTGAAGTATACAGACTTTAATGCTGAGTTTTGTATCTTAGTAAGTTACTCCACCTTACAGAGGCTCAATTTCCCCTGATTTAGGAAGGCGATGCTAATGGGTATTGCCTAGGTGTAAGTATAAAAATGTTGTATTTAAGAGAATCCCACAAGCTTGGTATAAGGCAGAAAATAAATAGATGCGACATGAATAAGTAGTTTATTACATTTGTATGCTACCTGCAGACTAGATGAAGCAAGAAACACAGCCACTATGTTTGATGACCATTATATTCTAATTTGGAATATAAATAGAAAAGAGAAAAATAGAAAGCTATGCATAAACACACGCATTAAAATGAATGTTATGTGGACTCTTTCAGGAAAATGTTCCTAAGGTATTTTATTTTTTTATTGTGGTAAAATACACATAACATAAAATGTACTCTGTTAACCATTTTAAGTGTACAGTTCAGTGGTACTAAATATAGTCATAACATTGTGCAGCCGTCCCTACCATCCATCTCCATAACTCGTTTCATCTTGTAGAACTGAAACTGTATACCCATTAAACAATACTTCCCCATTTCTTCCTCCCCCCAGCTTCTGGCAACCATCATTGTACTATCTCTATGATTCTGTCCACTTTAATACAAATGGAATTATACTGTATTTGTCCTTCACTGACTAACTTATTTCACTTGGCATAATATCCTCAAGTTTCATCCAAGCTGCAACATATGTCAGAATATTTCCCTCATGTTTAAGGCTGAATAATATTCCATTGTGTGTATATTTAATATTGTACTTATCCATTCATCTGTTGTTGGACACTTCAATTGCTTCTAAGTTTTAGCTATTGCCAATAACGCTGCTGCAAACATGGATGTGCAAATATTTTTTCAAGACTCTGCTTTCAATTCTTTTGCTATCCTGAGATGTGGCGCTGCTGAATCATATGGCAATACCATTTTGATGTTTTGAGGAACTACCATACTCTTTTCCACAGCAAACATAGCGTTTGGCATTCCCTCCAATACTGCAAAAGGAATCGCCACATCCTTGCCTGTGGTTTTTATTCACAAATCCGGTGGCTCTCTCTACATCCCAGCCACCATGTGTTATTTCCTGCTATGTATATGACATCAAAGGTGCAGGAAGTAATGAACTAAATTGGAAGGATAAACATGTAGAAAAATAGAGGTAAATACTGACTACATAAAACCATAAGAATAAGAATTTTGGATGATCAATCTATTATATACCTATTTATCTAACACCTATCTGTTCTTCCATCTGTAATTAAAATATATTACAGTTAGAGAGCAGAGGAAAAAGTAGGAATACATGAATTTAAATTTTAATTCTTCTTAGATTGTCTCACAGCATCATTATATGAAAGAAAATTTATAGGTCATTATCTGTTAACTATAAATGTAACATTCTTAAAGAATTCAAATACATTGAATTACAGCATGAATAATATGTTACAATCCATTCAAGTTTATTTTATTCCAGGAACACAAAAATACAAATTTCATTTGCAATTCAAAAAAAACAGAAATTGATACATATGATTGATGTATATACACATTTAATGTATTTTTAAATATACATTTTTTAAAAATAGAAATTTTTCTAGGACAAATACTTAAAATATCACTGAAAATAGTGTTATTAGCTAATACCTTCCTAATCACTCTGGTATTACATAAGAAACCAAAATTAAAATTTCAGGTAAACTTAGAAACTAAAAATTTTAAAAATATTATTCTGTTCTCCATATGTTCATATTTAGTATTACTTCTTGTTTTCATTCTTATTCAGTGTTGCTCTACAAAAATATAACATACAATACTAACTTTTGATTTCTGTTCTTATTACTCCGAATTGTATACATTTTCTCATGCTCTTAATTTAGTTATGCTACTTTTCTGTACTCTTGGAATTTTCACATTTGTGTTCACTCTTTTGAGTTCCCATAGTATCAAATGAGCTTTTTTCCCTCTTTCTGACTTGAAGATTCATCTTCTCATAATTATTTTGTCCATTCAGTTTTTTTCATTCTCGGTTAAGTGCCTCTCCTCTGGCTTCTTTTCATTTATAAGGTTTCCTTTCATCTTAAGCCAGTCTTTCATTTATATTTTGATTATGTTTTGTGGAGGACATGCTTCCCTGAATTTTATGGAAGAGGCCAAAAGGGTTTTTCAAGTTTTTACCTGATACATTGGATTAAATTATCTAATGTACACACTCTTAATTTAAGTCTAGGGGCGACTGTCTACTCTTGATTTTGTATAGTATTATTTTTCTTAACATCCAAGCCCATCTTCATCTATTTGTATATGATCAATAAAAATACATCTGTCCAGAACCCTGCTTTGGTGGAGTTACTTCTTTCTAAGTAGTAGAGGTAGCAGTTGAGACATGAGCTGGGTTCTGTGTCAGTGTAGAGGGCTGGGCGACATTCCTCCTTCTGGTCTGTATGACTGAATGAATGCAGTTCTTGCTGTCTCGCTCCTCTCCTTAACACATTGAGCCATTGCAGCAGATGAGAAGGAATAATCTTGATCTGCCATTCAGGTGGAACACATGTTCTCTCCAGCCACACCCATAGGTTGTACTCACACTTGGCCAGAAGGTATCCTGTCAATGATATGGAGATGTATCTATCTATCTAGATAGATATCTACTTTGGTTTATGCTCTTCGGTTGCCCGTAAATTATCTCCTTAAAGTGAATATCAAAAGAGAGCTTGGTGATGGCAGTGTTATAAAATCCTCAAAATGCAGCACCCACACCCAGAGGAATTTGTAGATTCTGGGATTCTAATTCAGATACCAAATTATATAAAAGGGGAACTGGTCATTGAGGGTTGCTAGGCTCTTTGTTGAGCATATTTGCTCTTTTCATGACTTTGAAATTATTTTAAAAATCTAACCTTTTTCTCAGTGTGCTGCAAGATGATTTGATTTTAATGCATAAGCACTAATTCTCCCCTAAGTTTTGTACAATATATTTGCTCTGACAAGCCATAGCCAGCAACTCACTTCACAGCAATTTATAGCATTTCCAAGATAAGTTGAATTATTTTTAACTAGACTCTCTTTGCCTTAATAAAAATATGAAGAAGCAATATACTTGTTCTAATTAGGTTCAAAAGTTGGCAGTCTCTCTCCTGGAAAGAATAGTAAAACTTTTCAGCGGCCTAATATGCATCTATAAACACACAAACACACACACACACACACACACACACACACACACGCAAGCACTATTCATAATATTTAAAGCACATTCTGTTCTATGACTTCATTTGTCTAGCACAAAATAAAACGATCTCAGCATATGTCAAGTACCAATTTTTTCGTATGGCCAATTATAGGTATTTTATTTTTTAAAGATTAGAGTGTTCTTGAAGCTCTTTATTTTTGTCAATGAACTAAACATTGGCAAATATGTAGGGTTTCCCACATAAGAACATTATTAACATCAAAATAGAAAGCTGGTGGTAGCAATAATGATTGAGAACACAGAGTCTCTACTCAACGTTCTAGTTCTGCCATACCATAACTTTGTGATCTCAGGAAATCTCTCTCCATGTTATCATCTCTATGTATAGTTCTGTCATTTTTCAATAAGTGCTTTTGGCTTAATTATGAAGTACTAGTTACTATAACCATTATTTTGAGTTTCATGTAAATCAAGAACACATGGACTCCACTTGCAAAACATTGAAAATGTAGTTAGGGATTGGGGGCATAAAGCAACATTTTAAAATGTGTAAAGACAATGAGTAAGCAACAAAGTGTCCAATTTTTTAGGGGAAAGTTGCATACGTTAGGAAAAGGCAGGATTAAGTAACAGAGAATTTGAATGATAACTGGCCAATTGGTGTCATTTACAATTGCAAGTCATACAAATGAAGTTTCCTTTTTTAAAGAGGAAAGGAGTTATTTAGAATGGGTCAACCTATTGGGGAAGCAATGTAGTTAGAGACAATGCCCAAAACCATGTGAGCCAATGCTCTGTAGAGCATACCCCTGCAATGCTGCCATTGTGAGGCCAAGTCTCTCCTTGTCTTGGTACTGAGCCCTCCATTCTGCCTCCATCATTGCCACTGTAGCTGCCACAAAATGATCCCTCAACCACCGCTGCCCAGGAACAAAGAAAGATTTCTGTCTTTCCGCGCTCTCAGATCAATTTCCAACATCAGGTGAGCCTTTGATGGGCACTATTCAGTTCCCATATCCATGAAATAGATGCAGTAAAAACATAGAAATTGCCTATATGTTTCCCAATAAGACACACATGGAAGCCTGTTTTCCCACAACAAGAAGGGGTTTGCACGATGGGTGTTCAAAGGAACAATATTCCCTGTAAACCATACTTTGCCCATATGAAGAAAAGCAATAAGGATTATTTAGTAAATAGACATGGAAACTCATCCAGGGTTGGCTGATGAGAAGCTGGTTAGCAAGGGGGTCTACCTTCAGTTAGGACAAGGTCTGTGCTTCCCATGGGTTCTCTCCACAGCAGGAGGGATGCAAACTTCCCTTTCCTCCCCTGCACCTACCCTCAAATGGCCCAGAGGTCTTCAGGTGCTAGAATTTCTCAATTAATGCTGCACAAAGTAACAGACAACCTTGACTGTCACAGTCTGTTCTCATGAAGCTAGTCTCTGCTCACTACATAAAACAGGAGAGTAAGAACAAGGGTGTTTAATGCTACCCTAGCTCAAACATGTTTCTCTCTGTAGGATGCCAAGAACCTGGGAACCAGTGCATCTGCTGCTTTCCCTTCTAGGATTCTAGCCCAGACAAAAGAGGCAAGGGGCATTTCTTCAGAGGCCTTGAGCTTCACTACACAATGACCCAGGCTCTACATGCACCCCCTTTATATATTTCTACCTTGAAAAAAAATTTTTATATAATATTAATAATATATATTTTTATATAATAAACATGTTTATTTCATAGATAGATATAGATATGCATAGATAAAGATCTCTAGTCAGCCTTTTTTAAGGCTGGGCTGATCGTGGTGCCTCAAAACTATAATCCCAGCACTTTAGGAGGCCAAGGTGGCCAGATCTTTTGAGTCCAGGAGTTGGAGATCAGACAGGGCAACATGGTGAAACCCCATCTTTACAAAAATTAGCTAGTATGGTGTCATGCACCTGCAGTCCCTGCTACTCAGGAGGCTGAGGTGGGAGAATCGCTTGAGCACAGTATGTGAAGGCTTCAGTGAGCTCTGATCACATGACTGCACTCCATCTTGTGTGACAAAGTGAGACTCTCTGAAAAATAAAATAAAATAAAATAAAAAGGCTACCACCATACTCACAAATAAGTGTGTCAGGTATATTTGCAGCTATATTTCCTATATTCTATTTGGTGAAAAAAAAAATTGCAAAGAACTCTTCTCATTCTAGATTTTTGTATTAATTAGACATTTGAAGTTTACAGCAGAGAGCTGTAATCATGTTTGGTATGTGTACTCTATAGACCAGATAATGCAAGCAGATATCAATGCTTTTTAAAAGTATATAAGGTTCTTAGAAATATTTTAAACTACCTATAGGTATATATGTATGTAATTGAACTATCAAATGCAAGTAAGATCATTTCCTTAGCGTGTGAAATCCACTCAATTTATTAAAATATTTTCTAATATCTATTACAATAATATTTCTTAATTAGCTAACATAAGAGGAGTTTTAAGACATTTATTTATATGTACTTACTAGATTCAAACTCGATTCCACTATTTTCAGAAATCACACTCTGAGACAAGTCCTTTTTTAATCTAACTATGTTTCTGCCTATACTAAAAGACAGATATGTCAATTTTGCTAATCATGCAGTTCCAAACCTCTCCATCCTGATTATTTTTCGGTTTGTTCTAGCAGTCATTCAGAGACTTACTTACATTCAAATTTCTCTCTAGGTTTAACATTCGTGTATGTCTTCTTGTGGTTTTGTCTATTTTTGCTGTATATAATTTAAGACATTTTATTGACATATATCATACATGCAGAAAAGTACAATGATTAAATATGGATAGCTTAATGAAACACATGTATTTGCTTATAACCATGTATGAAAATAGAACATTACTAAAAATAGTGATACTTCTCCTGCCCCTTTCCAAACACTAACCCTCATCCTCAATAGTAACAGATTTTTTTTATCATAATTTGGTCTACTTTCAAATTTTTATTAAATAAATCAGAGTATCTACTCTAAGTCTAAGTTTGTTTCATTGTTGTTATTTTACTTATTTATCTGCTAATGGACATGGTAGATTAAAGATGGCTAAATACACATTTTTTAAATTAACAGATTTTTTGAGCACTTTGTGGCTCATGCCTCTAATCCCATCACTTTGGGAGGCTGAGGTGCGTGGATCATGAGGTCAGGAGATCGAGACCATCCTGGCCAACGTGGTAAAACCCCTTCTCTACTAAAATACAAAAAATTAGCTGATAGATAACATCAAGATAACATCTGGGTTCTTAGCTGCACTGAGTCAAGCCTACTTACATCTTTGTTTGTCTTCCGCTGCACTTTTCCTTCCACATCACACTCCAGGAATGCCAAGCTGTGCTGGTCTTCTACCCCATTTCCACTATTTTGCTCCCGCGGATGCAACTTTTTGCTGCCGCCGCCGCGGGTTTTTGCCTCCGCTGCTTTTTGCCCCCGCCGCCGCGGCTTTCTGCCCCCGGCCCCGCGGATTTTTGCGCCCGCCGCCACGGCTTTTTGGGGCTCTTTGCCCCCGCCGCCGCGGCTTTTTGCGGCTTTTTGCCCTTGCCACGGTGGCTTTTTGCCCCCGCCCCCGCGCCTTTTTCCTGCCATGGCTTTTTGCCCCCGCCGCCTTTGCAACCTTAATTTCATTTGAAATCTAATTTCCCACTGCCATGCAACCTAACATATTTGTATGTTAGACTCCGGGAATTAGAACATGAACATTTTGGGGAGGCCATTATTTTGTCTACAGCAGACGTAATCTATTTACCTGCAGATTAAAATGTTCTTTATTTTTCTGCCTCCCTCTCTTAATTTTTTTTAAATAATATGAATTGTAGTAAAGAGAAAGAAAAGAAAGAAAAAAGAAGGAAAGAAAGAAAGAAAAGGAGGAAATGAGAGGGAGGGAGGAAGGAAGAAAGGCAGGAAGGGAGAAAAAGAAAGCAAGAACTCAAGAAAGAAAGAGAGAAAGAAAGTGAGAAAGGAAGGAGGAAGGGAGGAAGGAAAGGAGGAAGAGAGAATGGTAAAAGGGAGGAAGGCAAAGAAACAAAGAAAAACAGAAGGAAAAAAGGAAGGGAGGGAGGAAGGAAGAAAAGTAGGGAGGAAGGGAGAAAAAAAGGAAAGAAAGTGCGAAAGAAAGAATAAGAGAAAAGAAGGAAGAAAAGAAGGGAGGGAGAAAGGAAGGGAGGGAGGAGGGAAGGAAGAATAAGGGGAAGGAAGGAGAAAAAAAGAAAGGAAAAGAAAGAAAAAGGAAAAGGAAGGAAGTAGGCAAGGGAAGAGAAGAGAAAGGAAGATGGAAAGAAGGAAGGAAGACCGCAAATATTAGAAATTCTGGGTTTGTTGGAGAATATGCCATACTGTTTTTTTTTTCACTTGAAAGAGTATCTGCCATTGAAGATTGGATATCTTGTTGGTAATGTTGTTGTTCTTATCTTCCATATGATTACTGAGTTTGTGCCTAGTCTGTCCATTACTAAGACAAAAGTGTTGAAGTCTGCAAATATAATTTTGGATTTTTCTAGTTCACCTTTGATTTCTTTCCTGTTTTACCTCATGTATTTGGAGGATCTATTGTTAGCTGCATACCCTAATTAGTAGGATGTTTACATCTTCTTGAGAATTATTATATTATCTATTATCTCTCATTTCTGATACTATTTCTTGTTCTGAACTCTGTTGTGTCTAATATCAATGTAGTCCTTCCACAGCTTTATTTTAGTGTTTCCATGATATGGCTTTCTCCATATCTTGATGATAACCTATTTATATCTCTATATATTTGGAGCAAGATATAAAATTTAGAGTTGATTTTTTAAAGATTTTTCAAGATTTAATTCTTATTTATTTTTGTTCTATTTGACATTCTCTGAGTTTCCTATATCTGAAGTTTGATTTTCTGTCACTTCTTTTAGAATATTTTTGGCAGTTATTTTGAAAAATATTTCTTTTGCTCCATTATTTTTTCCTCTTTTCTTTTTGGGATTTCAATTATAACTAGGGTAGGTAATTTCATCTCAGTCTTATGCAGGTACTTTTTCTCAGGGTCTCAGGAATGTAGCCTTCTCACACTTCTGTTCTTTTCCTGGCTGTGTTGGTGAGCTCAGTGATATTCCTCCTTCACCTTCAAGAGCAGTTTTGTTTTGTTTTTCCTGTTTTCATACTTCCAGCATCAGGAGTATTCTAAGTGTGGCAGTTTTTGTTGCCTTCCCCTACATATTAAGTGGAATATCTTGGTCTATTTGGACTCTTATAACAAAATAACATAAACCGGGTGACTAAAAAACAACAGATATTTCTTTTTTCACACTTCTTGAGGCTGTAAGATCTCAGGTCAAGATGCTCACAAATTCAGTGTTGATGAGAGCCCATTTCATGGTTCATAGATGGTGTCTTCTTTCTATGTCCTCACATAGTGGAAGGCACACAAGAATTCCATTGAGCTTCTTTTATAAAGGCACTAATCCCATTCATAAGGGCTCAGCCCCCAAGACCTGGTCACCTCCCAAGTGTTCTGCTCTCCCTGATCTGTATCATATACAGACTCTCTTGGATTCCTTACCAATTGCTTGAGAGATCACAGTGGGTTTGTGGGGAAAAAGTTTTCAAGATGATGGATCTTTCCCAACTTCTGCAGCTGTCAGCAGTCTCCCAATCTGAGCAGCCCCACTTTGTCTTTAGGAATTTATTGATTATTCCAGCTTAACTTGTCATAGTGGTGTCTATTTGCATCTGTCCTATGTAAGTGCATCTGTCCTCTTTCTCCTTGCAGGTGCAAGTACTCAGGAGTACACTGTTGTTACTAATTACTCAGTCTTGGTTGGTACATTGTCAAAGATCAAAAAACATTTTTAAAGATAAAAAAAAATTCTTGGAAGGTGTGTAATGAAGGGTTAATTCTGCAGACATGGCTTTCCAAAACCTTGTGCATTCCAAAGGTCTTCAGGACTGGCCCTCGACAAGCTCCTGGGAGATGATAACCTATGAGCCCTTGGTATATGCTGCCTGATGAGAGTCTTTGTATACCTGAAAACGTAGGTCCTACCAAATAGCTGATGCTAACAACGTGATTTCTTGTGAGCACCTGTTTCTGTATGCGTATGACTTTGTGTAATGCCATATTAATATGACCTCTCTTAGGGCATAGGGAGGTTGGGAACTAAGTAGCTAAGTTCAGTCACAGGACGCTCGATGCATATGTGGTGGAATCCTAATGAAAACCCTGGACTCAAGACTGACTGAGCTTCCCTAGTTGGCAACAAGTTCACACATGTTGTCTCACACCATTGTAAAGAAAATTAGTCAGTGTGAAGTCCCCACTATGAAAGGACACCTGTAAGCTCACATCTGGTTTGTCCTGGACTCAACTTTATGTGCTTTTATGCTTCTGATTATTTTAATCTTGTTTCTTTCACTGTTAGAAACTATAACCACAAAAAAAAATCAGCTTTCTTGAGTTATGTGAATCATTAAACCAAAGGGGGACTTGGGGACCCCCAATAAAAAGTATATATATTCTTAAAAAGAAAAAGATAACTGGCCATAGCAGATATTGTTGATGACTTGTCTTCTATCTCCTGGACTCAATGTGTTCACCTGAAATTCACCTGTTTCCAGCTAACTGAGAGCTCCCCACATCATGCCTGTCTTTCTGATTTTTGGGCCTGCCTGCAAGCTTCTTGAGGCTAACCAGTGCTTCTCAACCACACATAGGAAAAAAGAAGGAGTTAGGGGTGGAGAGTTAATGATTCTAAGGCAATCCTTAAGCAATAAGAGATGGGGATTCCAGCATTCCCATCTCTCTGTAAAGTTATTTTGAGACAATCTCCATACCTCCATCATTACTGAGCACATAGCAGTAACTACTCATTCACACTGGCTCCGTGTTCTGTTTCATTTTCTCCACTTCTGTGCTTTCTCACTCGATTTCTGATTAAAGTATCTGACCCCAGATATTTGTTTCATCATCTATTTTTGAGGGAATCCAGAGCCAAGACAATAACAATGGGAGCTTTGTAATGAGGGAGGGTTAGTATAATCATCAGAAGAGTACCTACCTCACTGGGAACATGAAGGCCTGGAGAGCTTGCTGTTTCAATGAGAGAAACATGTTGAATCTCAGTTGAATACCTATATATATATGGGCAATAAGTCGTGCCCTTTACTTATATCAAAGGAAAGTGCTCTTTACCTCTCTTTGTTGTTGTGTTTTTATCACTATTGCCTACACAAGCAGAATATCATACCCAGGATTTAAAGCCCTGTCTGCAGGATTTTCAAGCTCATGTTTTTATCATAAGTCACTGTGCTTCCATGTGTTTTAAATCTAATCCTCATTCCTCTGCTTTTACACCAGAGAATTCATCACTGACTTATTTTTGACTGACCTTATAGAGCTGTCAAGTACACAATTTCTGCTGTGACCTTTCTCTTAGAGTTCAGTCATATAGCCTCTCCCTAGATATCATCTCCTCTTATCTTTCCTAATAATGAATTGTCAGTTAAAACTCAACATTTTTAAGATTGAGCTTACCATCTGCACACACACACACACACACACGATTATTGGTGTATTCTCATAGCCTTGAAACACTAATGTCACGTTGATGTCTGCCTTTCTTTCTCTGCTACCTCATCCCTCATCCTTAGATTATTCTAAAAGATTCAATTAGATCAAGTTGGCTAATTATATTTTTAAGATCCTCTCTACCCTTACCAATTTTTTGTTTAACAAATTTTAAAAATTTCTGGCAGGAGACTGTTGAAATCCCCATGGATGACTGTGGTTTTACTATTTTACCTTTCAGTTTTAATAGGTTTTATATTATGTATTTTGAAGTAATGCTATTGTGTGCATACATATTTATTATTTACATGTCTTCTTGGAGTATTTTCCCCTTTGTCATTATGAAATGTTATTCTTCATCCCCAGTGATATTTCCTGTTCTGATGTCTACTTTGCTCATCACAGTTTTAGTGGGTTTTGGTTTGTTTGTTTTTCTTTTTTTTTTTTTTGGTTCAAGTAAGTTTCTTATAAAGAGCATATAGTTGAGTCAGTGTTTTTAATCCTGTCTTATGATCTCTGCCTTTTAATAAGAATATTTTGTCAATTTAATGTAATTATCAATATGATTGGATGTATAACTACTCTCTTGCTATATGTTTTCTAAATATCTCATCATTTCTGTTCATTTTCCCCCTTTTTCTGCCTTCTTTTGAATTGAGAATTTAGTTTTTAAGATCCGCTTTTATCTCCACTATTAACTTTTAACCATTCCATTTTGTTTTAATTTTAATGATTGATATAGGGCTCATAAAATAGACAGTTCTTGTTTCCCTTAGTTTTGATATGCAAAGGCTTTAGTTATCATGCTTTAGTTACATAGCACAAGCCCCAAAACAAAACAGTTTAGGTACAGCAGTGTATTAATTGGGACTAACGGATTGAAGTACAATTTTTTTCTGTTAACTCTTCAGTCCATAAAACTATTAGGTAAATATCAGATTTGCATCAAGATCCATGATCAGTCACGTCACTTTTCTCAATATCTATTAATAATCAATTACTATGTATCTGTTTTGTATTCATACAGAGACAGGAAAGCATCCAGTAGTGTTGCTTCTTTGTCTTTCAGTGATAAAGGCATGACATTATACAAAAATTGATAAACGACAGAAAATCGGCCAACAAAAATGAAAGTGTGGAAAATAAATGAAAGTGTCAACACCGAAAGTGAAATTCAGATTGGATCTTGATGGATTGATAGAAGAAATAGTTAATTGCGAGAATGCTGACACAACTACCATCCAAGAGATTTCATATGTGCAGTCAGGGGAACTTACGGAAGACATATTTACAACTTAAATGAAGAAGCTGATTGCAGGGAAAAGACGAATGTTTTCCCAGAAGATGTGATGCTGAGAAAAAAAATTACATTGAAGAAATTCTCCAAGATGTTTAAAGACAATGAACGCACAAACAATAAAATGTTGGACAAATAATCGAATTTATAAAGAAGTATGGCAATTCACCAAAGCATAAAAAATATTGAGAATCACATGATGAGAAGTTGTGCAAATACTGTACAAACTACTCTGAATACATTTCAAAGAAATATATAAAACATGTATTTTAATTATCAATGTTTTAAATTATAGTGTACTATATAAATACTAGTTTTAGGGTTGTTTTTTGGTTTTTACTTTTCTATGCATATATAACCAACAGTAAGACATTTTTAATATTTTGACAAATGTGTTTATTTATTTATTCTTTTATTTAGAGACAAGATCTCACTCTGTTGTCCAGGCTGGAGTGCAGTGGTATCAAAAAGGCTCACTGTAGCCTCGACCACCAGGCTGAGGTGATCCTCCCACCTCAGCTTCCTGGATAGCTGGGACTATATGTACGTATCACCACTCCTGGCTAATTTTTTGTAGTTTTTGTAGAGACAGGGTTCCGTCATGTTGCCCAAACTGGTCTCAAACTCCTGGGCTCAAGTGATCTGCCCACCTTGGCCTCCCAAAGTGCTGGAATTACCGGTGTGAGCCACTGCACCTGACTGACAAGTGTTTTTAATGATTGCAGGAACAAGTTTATGTTTTTCCATTAATTATTAAGATAACTTTGCCCAGTTTCAACTTGCACAGTGGTTACTAAGGCCCCGCACTGATGTGCATAAAGAGTACCATCTGTACATTTTTTTAACTTAAAACACTCAACCTTCAAATAATATTTATAATACCTGCTATATAGTTTTAAAATATTGCAATTCTGAAGCCAGCATTACCATGATACTAAAACCCAGCAACCTATAATCCTGAAATGTAAGACCTCAAACTATAAGAATCCTAGAAGTAATGCTAGGAAACACCATTCAGAAAATCAGCCTTGGGAAAGAATTTATGACTAAGTCCTCAAAAGCAATTTCAACAAAACAAAAATTGACACGTGGGACCTAATTAAACTAAAGAGCTTCTGCACAGTAAAAGAAACTATCAACAGCATAAGCAAACACCCCACAGCATGGGCGAAAATATTCACAAACAATGTGTTCAATAAAAGTCTCATATCTTGAATCTATAAGGAACTTAAACAATTAAACAAGCAAAAAAACAAATAACTTAATTTTAAAAGTGAGCAAAACCATGAACAGATACTTCTCAAAAGAAGGCATACAAGTGGCTAATAAACATGAAAAAAATGCTCGTAATCACTAATCTCAGAGAAATGTAAATCAAAACCAAGATGAGATATCATCTCACACTAGCCAGAATGGCTATTAATAAAAATTCCAAAAACGTTTAATAATATCTTTTATTGAAAAGTTCCTGCCAAGGCTATAGAAGGGGAAGGTTTATACACTGTTGATGGGAAGGTAAATTAGTTCAGCCAATGGGGAAAGTAGTTTGGAGATTTCTCAAAGAGCTTAAAACAGAACGACCATTTGACTTAATAATCCCATTTCTGGTTATATATCCATAAGAAAATAAACTATTCTACCAAAAAGACACATGCACTTGTATGTTCACTGTAGCACTGTTCCCAATAGCAAAGATATGGAATCAACCTAAGTGCCCATCAGCAGTGGATTGGATAAAGAGAATATGGTACATATACACTATGGAATACTACACAGCCATAATAAAGAAAAAAACCATCTATTTGCAGCAACATGGATGCAACTTGCGGCCATTATCTTAAGTGAATTAATGCAGAAACAGAAAATCAAATACCACATGTTCTCACGTGTAAATGGGAGTTAAACACGGGGTACTCATGGACATAAAAATGGCAACAATAGAAACTGGACACTGCTAGAGGGAGAGGAAGGCAGGGAGGGAGGCTGGGGTTGAAAAACTGTCTGTTAGGTACTATGCTCAGTACCTGGGAGATGGTCTCAACCGTACCACCAACCTCAGCATCACGCAATATATCCATGTAACAAACCTGTACATGTGTTCCATAAATTTAAAATAAATGTTCAAATAAAAAAACAAATATTATAACTGTCTATCCATTTTCTCTCTACAGTTCTTTGCCCTACTGTCATAGGGTTTTCCTCCTTTCTTTATATATATTTTGAATACCACAGAAATAATTGTTATTTTGGTTTTAAATAATCCATTACCTTTAACATTACTTAAAACATGAAAAAACGTCTTTTGTATGTATTGTTTCTTTTTCCTTTTTTTTTTTTTTTTTTTTTTTTGAGACGGAGCCTCACTCTGTCGCCCAGGCTGGAGTGCAGTTGTGTGATCATGGCTCACTGCAACCTCCACTTCCTGGGTTCAAGTGATTCTCCTGCCTCAGCCTCCCGAGTAGCTGGGATTAGAGGCGCACGCCACCACACCCAGCTAATTTTGGTATTTTAGTAGAGACAGGGTTTGACCATGTTGGTCAGGCTGGTCTCCAACTCCTGACCTTGTGATCCGCCCAACTTGGACTCCCAAAGTGCTGAAATTACAGGTGTGAGCCACCATGCACAGCCCTATGTATTATTTCTAACATGAGTCATTTCTTTTTAAAAATGTAAATTATCCCAGCACCATTTATTAAATAGGAATCCTTTCCCCCATGTCCAACAATGATAGAACGGATTAAGAAAATGTGACACATAGGCACCATGGAATACTATGCAGCCATAAAAAATGATGAGTTCATGTCCTTTATAGGGACATGGATGAAGCAGGAAACCATCATTCTCAGCAAACTATCACAAGGACAAAAAACCAAACACTGCATGTTCTCATTCATAGGTGGGAATTGAACAATGAGAACACATGTACACAGGAAGGGGAACATCACACACCGGGGCCTGTTGTGGGGTGGGGGGAGGGGGGAGGGATAGCATTAGGAGATATACCTAATGTTAAATGACGAGTTAATGGGTGCAGCAGAGCAACATGGCACATGTATACATATGTAACAAATCTGCAAGTTGTGCACATGTACCCTAAAACTTAAAGTATAATAATAAAAAAAGTAAATTATCATCCTGTTACTTTCTTTTTGTCTACCATTTCTTTCAGTACCAGTATGCTGTTGATAAAATCTATCAGCTACTTATTGTCAAAATAGCTTTATTTGCTTTCATTTTTGTAAATTTCTTGATTTTTTTAGAATTTTCACATGAATGAATTTCCAGGTTGACTTGTTTCTCTTGCTTTAAGTAATAGAATGTTGCGCTACTGTCTTCTGATATACATGCTTATCATAAAAAGTAGTTATTACATTGGTTCCATTGTCAATAATACATCTCTTTTTCTCCAACTGTTTTTAAGTTTTCTTTTTAAAAACAACTTTCTTCAACTTAATCCTTTTATTCATTTTGCTTTGATTCCACTGCACTTCTTTTACCTGTTGGTTTATAGTTTTACCAAGTTTTAAAAATATCTCAACCACTGCCTTTACAAATAGTTTTTGCCCTCCCCCAATTTCCTGGGATTTCAATTATGTGTGTTGTTAAGCTGCTTAATATTTTCTAATCCCATAATTTCTGTCTTTTCTTGGTCTGTTTCTGTTAATTTTTTGTCTTGTTTTGGATGAATTTTTTTGTTTATATGCCTTTCTGTTATTTTTTTAATGTCTAAGGGAAATTCTGAATTCTACATTGTTAGGATCTGGATTTTGTTTTATTTAAAGAGAGATGAACTTTGTTTTCAAATGCAGTTATCTGAGATCAGTGGTGATATTGTTTACTTTTAAATGTGATTATAATGGCTTCAAAGCCTTGACTCTAGAGCTGATTCACCCCCTACTAAGGTGTGATTATTCTGAGAACTCTATCTGATGTTATAAGTTTCTCACTCTGGCTGGAGCACATACTGTTTCTTCTAAGGCCCATATGACCTCCAGGAATTTCTCTGGCCCATTGCTAATGAAGACTCATTTTTCTATCTCATGGAGTTTTACTTTATGTAGGCACAGTTCAGTTCTCACTCAAGGACTCCAGAGAACCTCTACGTAAATCTCCACAGTTCTCTCTCTGTGCAGCCCTCTTCTCTCTGTCAGTCTGCCTTGATGATTCTAGTCACCTTGGCCTCCATAAACTTTGATATCTTGCTCTTAAATTCAGCAAATCATGATATTCTCTCTCAGATTGTCTCATACCATGCTGGAGGCTGGAAATCACTTTCAGTAAGTATGCTGGCACTATAAAGGGTATATATTGTTTTCTTTCTCTCAGAAATCACAGTTTTGTGCTGCCTATTTTTTTCATGCAATAAAAACAGTTTATATACTTGTTCTGGATTTCTAAACGTTTACAAAAGTTGCATAATTCTGGTAATCATTAATTCTTCATCAGCAACAGTTGAATTCTCAGAGACTTGTTTAACTGCCCAGATGACAATTATCCTATTGCTTTATTCTTCAAATCTAGTAAGTGAATCAAAGTCAGTCTTAGTGATGATCAGTATCTCTATATTTTTGTCTAAAAAACAGAATGCTATTTTAATCTATAGATTCAAGTGTCATTTTATCTCTTTGAAGTTTTCAACAAGTAATGTTTCCAATGTTAATGTTCTTTCTTATTCTTCAAAACATCAAGTAGGCAGAGGTTGAGTCTCCATTGTCATGCATCTATATTTACCAACACCATATTAAGGATTTTTATTATGCCTTTGTCTTTTCATATAATTTACTTTTGTGTGGTTTCTTCTAGATATTCACTATTTTTCTGGATGTAATTGCTGATGTATAGTGCCTATGTATTTCTTTCTTACATAATTCCTTAGTTGTTCACTTCAATTTCTAAATTGAGATTAAGGTAACTTCAATTTGTTCTCTGATTACTTTGGTAATTCTACTTGTGATGTAGTTTTAGTAACTGCATCTTGTTTATGCTTTTTGTTCATTTTCATATTTAGAAAATAGAACACCAGGCATATATATTTTACTGATTTTTTTCTCTCTGCATTCCTCGTAGAACAGATCCAGGTATTAGCTAAGGGATCCTCTGGGGCAGGAGTGGGGTGGCATTGCAATTTGTATCTTTTTTTAAATCCATGTTTTTGTAATGGAATACCGTCACACTATTTTCTTACTCCCTAAGTACTGGATAATTGTTTCTCCTCCTATCAGCATTCACTTTTCTAAAGGTAATGTGGCTCAGATTTAGATTCCTAGGTTTCTAAATCTACATTTCTAATCTCTATATTATCACATGCTGGTTAATTCTTTTCTCTTTTGCTCCTTTCCACTTCTGTGAGCTTCATTCTGTTTGGAACTCAGAGTATATGAAATGAACAGAGTACATCAGCCTGAATTCTCTCACAACTTCAAATACTTTCCATTTTATGGTTAGACAACACTGAGTTACTCTATAGTGACTTTCCTACTTTTATTAATATCATGGTCACATTATTCCATAAAATCTAACAATTTTAAGAAAAATAGTTTTTGAGTTACATCTCCCAGAGTAGCGGCAATGATATCTGGAAAAAATGACCATCCTGAACACGTACTGATTATACATGTGAAAGCACTCACTCTGATCACTCCTTGTTTTAGTTGAAATATAACAGTATTTGGAAGGTTTGCTTCTCAGTTTTTGGTTTCGGGCTATAGTTGTTTCTCTGAAGATGCTTATCTTCTTATTTTTTCTTGTTTTCTTTTTGTTCTCAATGAAATGAATTTTAATAGAAGAATGAAATGTAAAATATTCAAATTCAGGGTCGTACAGTGTCTATAGTTTTGGGCACTCATTTTAAAACTGAATAATAATTTTCAATGCATATGACTCATTCTCTACCCTCCTTTCTTCCATTCTTCTGAATGTGTGACAAACAAGTATAGATGCTCTGAATGGTAATAAATTAAAAAAATCATTTCATGATGGTCCTATTCCTGTAATTCTATTTTCCAATTGACCTCCACTTCCTATCTTAACTGCATAAAAGTGAAATAAATTAGTGACTGTTTAATTTTAAAAATAAGTGGTCTGAATGATTTTGCTGGGATAAGTAATAAAAAATGTTGAAATCTTTGAGGTTTTCAATTTGCTTAAAAAGAAAAAAGTTTCAGGCTTTGGCAAAGCAAACATGCATTTTGCTAAGTAATATTCCCCCTTAATTTTGAGATTTATTTTGGCTTCATACATTTCTTTCTTATATGAATACCATTAAAGTAAAAGTTATTTCAGAGTTACCAGGTGGAAGACTTTTATAGATGTATGTGCATGCATATTTTTTTTCTTGAAAATATAGTTGTTTTAGTTTGGGCTGCCAGAGCAAAGTACCATAGACTAGGCACTTTGTAAGCTGGATGGGTTTATAAACAACAGAGATTTATTTCTCACAGATCTTGAGTTCAGAACTATGAGATTAGAGTGCCAGCATGGATGAATTCTTGTGAGGACCCTCTTCTGACTTGCAGACTGCCGTCTTTTCTTTACATCCTCACACAATAGATAAAGAGCAAGAGAGTTCTCTGGGGTCTTTTTTATAAGGGTGCTAATCTCATTCACATGGGCTCCAGTCTCATGATGTAATTAGCTCCCAAAGACCCCACCTCCTAGTACCATACATTGTGGGTTAGGATTTTGACATATGAATTTGGGTGGGGGGAGAAAAACAACCATTTAATCCATTGCAATAGTGAAGGTGGAGGAGATACAAAATGAAATAAGTAAATCTTCCATAAATCTTTCATAAATCATAGTATAAGAAAATATCATGAATGGTTCAAATTTGTGATTTTTATCACTACAAAAGAGATTATGGGACTGTGATATGGTCTGGCTGTTTCCCCTCCCAAAGCTCACCTTGAATTGTAATAATCCCAATATGTCAAGGGCAGGGCCGGGTGGAGATAATTGAATCATGGGGGCGGTCTCCCCCATACTGTTCTCATGTTAATGAATAAGTCTCTGTTGGTTTCATAATGGGAGTTCTCCTGCACAAGCTCTTTTGCCTGCTGCCATCTAAGACATGCCTTTGCTCCTCCTTTGCTTTCTGCCATGATTGTGAGGCCTCCCCAGCCATGTGAAACTGTGAGTCCACTAAATCACTTGTTCTTTATAAATGACCCAGTCAAGTATGTCTTTATTTGCATGAAAACAGACTAACACAGACTGATTCATCCGGCTCAGAAATATTTGAATACGATTTCTAAAAAGGGCCTTGCAAAGTATGTATTATGCGTATTGATGAAGATGGATGGAGTTTTCATGAAAGTTACATGTAAATACACAGACCAGCCAAGGTGAATAAAGAAAGAAAGAAAATGTGCAGAGATGGACAGAATATAAGCCAAACACGACTCATTTATTTACTTCTCTTTAAAGTGCCAAAGCACATATTAAATTTTTTTTTTTTTTAACTGGAGTCTCACTCTGTCACCCAGGCTGCAGTGCAGTGGTGCAACCTAGGCTCACTGCAACCTCCACCTCCCCAGTTCAAGCAATTCTCCTGCCTCAGCCTCCCAAGTAGCTGGCACCAGCCACCACACCTGGTTACATTTTTTTGTATTTTTAGTAAAGACGGGGTTTTACCATATTGGCCATGCTGGTCTTGAACTCGTGACCTTATGATCTGCCTGCCTTGGCCTCCCAAAGTGTTGGAATTACAGGCATGAGCCACCATGCCCAGCCACATAATTAATTTTTATCACAGATTTCACAGATTTTAAACTCCTCAAGTTACATTTCTCAAGTAGTAAAATCACTTATTTCTGAGTGCATTTAAGATGGACCTTGAGTTTATTTAAAATGCAGATTCCCAGGTCTGTTCTATGCCTGTTAATTCAGAATCTCTGGACTTGGAACTAACTGAGAAGTTTGCACTTTAAGCAAAAATCCTGGCGAATTCTACTGACTAAGGTTTTAAAGCCATTCATCTGACATGTGGAGTACAATCTCTTTAGTTATCTTTAGTGAATATCCTCTATAATATTCACAAAGATTGTAAGTAAATAGTTAAATGTATCAATGTTAAGACTTCAACAATTTAAGAAATGTTCCCAAATGCAGCTGGTTTTCTTACAAAATGGGAGGTATAGTTGAGTGTATGTATTGGAAAATAAGGACTAAAACTCTCTTTAAGGATAATACCAAAGGTAATTTTCTTAATCCCTACTTTTAAAAATATTACATTGGCTTTGGTCTTCTTGTTGAACGGTTAATAATTTGACCGATAAATCTATAAATTCTTGTTAAGAATTTACTATAATCTTAGCTACATAAAGGTGATACAAAAGGAAGGGAACTATATAGTGCATGAAATTTGACCTAAGAGTTATGAAGAGTTTGAGAAAACAAGAGAAAATATGAAAGATTATCATAGAACAGAAGGTAATTGCATGGTATTAATTTTAAATGCTGCCACTATTCACAGGCTAAGGAAGAACAAGAAGGTTTTTGTTGTAAAGTCAGGTTTCAGGAAGTGATTTGGCTAAGATGTGGACCTAAAAGCTGGGTAATATCACTTACAGAAAATACCATTACAGAAAATACCGAAATAGTCACTATCCACAATTTAGAAGAAAAAAACCTAAAGTTATCCTTTGTCCCATGATAATCAAGCAGTTGTCATTTAGCTCCTTTCAGGGTAAGAAGGGATTTCATAGAATATTATACTTCAATAGCACTTCATCAAAATTTCATTTACAGTAAATCTAATTATCTCATTTCTTTTTTTTTGAGACGGAGTCTCGCTCTTTCACCCAGGCCGGAATGCAGTGGCGCGATCTCCGCTCACTGCAAGCTCCGCCTCCCGGGTTCACGCCATTCTCCTGCCTCAGCCCCCCGAGTAGCTGGGACTACAGGATTATCTCATTTCTTACAAAAGTTACCCATGGTGCTGAGAAAACTAGAAACTGGACTGTAGATGATGCTTGGTATTGTTCCTATTTATTTTTAAAACTTGATATTTCTTCAGAGAGTAAACTTTGTTATATTATGACAACATGTCGGGTATCATCAATTTGAATTTTGTTAGATTCATTTTTTTTTAGAATCCCAAGATAAATTGCTCAGTTTTTATGCTTAGTTTAAATTTGAGAGCCTTAATATAAACTTGTACAATTTTGTTTCACTGTATGTTTTGTTATTATTTGGGAGGTGAGGAGAGTTCATTTGCAGTACAATTTTAGCATATTTTATAATATAGTCAGTCAAAAAAAGCCTCACATGTATATATTTCTTCTTTATTTTAGACTGTAGGTTATGTATTTTAAAACCAATTGTTAGATGTCCTGTTATACAGATTTACTTCTTCCTATTTGGTGATTTTTTGATGCATTAAAAAGAGAAAATTGTATAAACCTAATGACTATTGACAAGTGTTCAGAGAGATAAAAAAGATCTATAATTAGCACAATGGAAGGATTTCCAAATCCACACTGTTTTGACGTTTTCTCACCTGAAAAGTATTTATTGCAGTTTTACTGGTTGATTGGTTGTCATTTTTCTTTCAGTTGTGTTTCTACGCAGAAATTGCATGGAACTGAACATGAATTGCATTACAATTGAAACTGTTTCTAATATTATTCACTAATGGGCAAATCCATTACTTTAGGTCCATTTCTTATACAAGGAAATTCAGTTACTCCGAGGACAATTCAGGTAAATAACTACCGCAGCACGGACCCAAGGGTAGCAGTAGAAAGTGGTGCTGCTCTAAGTTTCTCCTCTAGTGGATGTCAAAAGAAAACATTCTTATCACTGTGTACGCGCTAGGCATAATTGTTTTGGTATGTGTTCAGCACAGGCTTAGGCAAAAGTCTTTCTATGTAAATCCAAACAGTAACTGTTGAATTACTCATTTAAACTTACGTGTTTCACAGCACAAGTTGTTAGTGAAAGGTTTCAACTTCTTATTTTAGACATTAAACAGA
This sequence comes from Homo sapiens, assembly GCF_000001405.40. NCBI lineage: Eukaryota > Metazoa > Chordata > Mammalia > Primates > Hominidae > Homo > Homo sapiens. Next base: position 15,149,905 of record NC_000018.10, on the reverse strand, counting down.
TACCTCAAATGTTTGGGAATTCTTCTTTTACATCTCAGCAATGGAAATATTTAGCATTTTTTTTTTTTTTTTTTTTTTTTTAGCTAGCCAAGAGTCCCTGTACAGTGAGCAATCTTTTGGGGTCTTATCTTCTCATCACTGAAGAATTTCTATGTGGACACTAAAGTAATATTAAAACCACTCACTCTCACAGGTAATTTACAGAATACAGTTTTAATTAACAGCAATATCGACAACAATAGCAATGATGAAACCTCTGAGGTGAGAGAGAATGTTAATTTTAGCAAAGAGTGTCTTGTCATCTGGACAAGGCTTACCAGTTCCTAGCCTCTAGTTTGTATACACTTATGCAATCATTTTGAATATTTACTCCCTGTATGCTGGTAGAAAAATAAGTGTCAGGACATTACATGTGAAGGAATAATTCAACATTTAAGTTTTTAAGAGTATATTCTTTTCAGATCTTGTTCCCCAAAGTTAAACATTGTGGTAGATTGAGACTTTCATTATTAAATATCTTACAGAAAACAAAGGAAATTGTAACATCTTATTTACCATCATTAAGAGAAACCTGAAGGCCAATTACTTATTGAGTGGCAGGCAACTCAATTACATTATTGTATAGAATCCTCAGGACTGTATTAAAAAATTATGACAAGGAGTTTACACAGGTCAGCCTATAAAACTACTGCATAATTTCTATCTGTAAATTAAAATAGAAAAGAAATAAGATTGAAGTAAATATGATAATAGTAAATTTCATGTCTAAGTGTGCTAAACTAGCTGGCCTTTCCTATTCTTGAATAAAATTATTCTGGTTGCCATAATGCATCGCGAAGCTTACCTAGATGAGGAGAAATTCAAAGTATTCCAAAGTCTGCCCTCATGAATAGATCAAGCCTTGGGGGAAACCAGTGATCTCTTGGCAACAGGACCAGAAGGTACATAATCTCTTGTTTTGATTATATTTCATCTGCTGAAAAATTGCTTATCCCTCTGAGATTTATCTTAGAGATAACTGAAAGTAATTTTGTGACCTTCACATTGTCCGTATTTAAGTTAGATAATTGAAAATTTGGTGAGGATCCCAAAACCTCAAGTATGTATGGAGATTAAGATTTCCAACTCTGAAGAAAAACTGTCAGGTTCAAATCTTGGTCCTGTTCACCTCTGATGACTAACTCTGTGGTTACAAAACCCACTTGCCTCCCTTTATCCATCTGAAAAAAAAATTGGTATGACTACATAGTTTGGCAAGTGGGGGCTAACTGAGCTACTAGACAACTTACACCGTAAGTCGACACAAAGCTCATGCACAATAAGCATAATTAATATTACATTGTTTTATTTTGTATGAGGTGGCAACAAATAGTTATCACATGCTTAATTTTAAATAAGCATTAACAGTGGTAGAAATTAAGGAAATTTATATATTAGAGAAAACTCTTAGAAATATGAAGGCTCTATCTAGTTATATTTGTTTCTTATGTATCACATCCTCAATTTTAAATAAAAAGCATTAATAATAGTAGAAATTAAGAAAATACATTTATTAGAGAAGTCTATTAGAAATATCAAGGCTTAATCTAATTATATTTGTTAACTGAACTTGAGACATATGAATATTCACATACTTTAAGATATTTTATCACCTATTTGAAGAGGGACTCTGGCCACTATAAGAACAACTCGCACATAGCAAAAACTAGTGATTGAATACATTCTAAAGAGTAACATACATTTTGAAAGTGAGCTGTTGTTGGCTGGGCACGGTGGCTCACACCTATAATCCCAGCACTTTGGGAGGCTGAGGCGGGTGGATCACGAGGTCAAGAGATCGAGACCATCCTGGCTAACATGATGAAACCCCGTCTCTACTAAAAAAAATACAAAAAATTAGCCAGGCATGGTGGCGGACGCCTGTAGTCCCAGCTACTCAGGAGGCTGAGGCAGGAGAATGGTGTGAACCCGGAAGGTGGAGCTTGCAGTGAGCTGAGATCTCACCAGTGCACTCCAGCCTGGGGGACAGAGCGAGACTCTGTCTCAAAAAAAAAAAAAAATGAGCTGTAGTTATTGAACTTTTTATTATTACTTAATTACAAGAAAAAACAAAGTAAACAACCAAAAAAATTATAGTGTTGAGAAAATGCCAAGGCTGTTCACCCACTTCTTTAACCATTCTTCAAATTTACCATATATATATTTTTTTGACTAAGTGAGATAAATCACATTGAAATGCGTGAAATAATGTCTGGCATCCAGTAGATGCTCAGTGACATTTGTCCCCTTTAATGGTTTCAACTGGCTAGGATTTCCCACGAAGAACAGTAGCATTTTGGTATCACTAGGCTAATGTCCATTTTCTGTATTGGAGAGTAGAGAAACCCCTTGGGTGATAGCTTATTTTACCTACTATGGAATTTTTACAGAACAAAGTTAAGGGTCATCTGCTGTGTGGATTCCCACTGGTTATGTGAGACGTGGCAGAACATAATGGTAAGAAGAAGGATTCAGGAGCTGAACCATCTGGGTTCTTCAGGCTGTATCACCTACTGCCTATGAGAGGCTTAGCCAGTTAGTTACCTTTGTGAGCTTCCTCTGGTGAGGATCAGAAGAGTTAATACATAAGACACCAATTATAATACTAAACCTGGGATGTAAAAAGGCTCAATTATTATTACTGGTTACCATTATTATTAAGAGTGTTAATAATAATTACTACAGCAATCTTTTCTAGACAAGGGAAAGTGAAGCAACTAATTAACCCTCAATGAAAAAAAGGTTTTTTTCACTGCTAAAGACTATTAACTCTGACATGAGTTTTAGAATAGTTTTGCTTTCTCTCTCTTTACCTGTATTTTCTTTATTTTTTATTCTAATGTTTTTGATTTACCCAAGGATTTTGGTGCTAGGTTGTGGTTCTGGTAGGCTGATCAAAGTTCATACCACAGGCAGTTAATTTTACCCAGATGACTCCTGGTTTCTTTCTTTTTTAAATAAATCATATCCACTGCCGAGGTTGATATGAGGACTTCTCTCCATTGGCAAGTAGCATTGTAGCCACAATCTCTTATTAAAGCTTGAAACAAAATGGTGATTACTAGTGTTTATGGCCAAATTTTGTTCATGCCTGCCCACTGAATTTGTTTGGGTACCAGGAAATTATGGACTGTGTGATTCGAATTAGGATAAGAGATTAAACCCTGGGAGCCATTCTTGAGCAAAGACTGTGCTGTTAAAAAAAAATGGAAAATATCTTTTTAACCAAGTCAGTGAAATTAGCTTAGTCATGAGGATTGCAAGTGAGCTTTCTGAAGTTGAGATGTAAACACAGTGCCAAAAAGTTTCATCAGGAGACTGGGGAGAGATGCTGATTCTTATTATGTGAGAGATTTGTAATGCTAACTTAATCTTCTGACGAACCCCTTAATTTCCCATTTTTAACTATTCTAGATGCTTGTCTCAGGAAATGGAAGAAGTCTCTTCAATAATGTTACCAGAGACATGCCATGTCATTTCTATCTTCTCAATACAACTACTTAGTTCCTTTTTTCTTTCATTTTTGCATAATTTCCATAGCAACATGTACATGGTGACTACAATACCTCAATCAGCACCTCCACTCCTGGTCCCAGTTTTTTCTTTGCTAATCCTCACTGCTGACTTTTGTTGTGGTTTCATTATCATTTCACAAGGTAACTACTGTCACCTTGGAAATGAAGTGCATGGTCAAAGCCATTTAATACACAAAATATGTAAAATCTCCTCTTATGCATATTATACATGAAAGAAGGATAAGACCATCAGTTAGTTGTGTCTCCTCTGTAGAAATAGCCAGAGCATCAGGACAGCTGCATCCTCTTTCACAGAAGTAGGAGAGCAGATGCTGAGGCAGGACACAATAGTTCTTCAGCCTGTGTTGCCTCCACTTGCATCCTAGAGCACTTGTTGAACTCTCTCTTAGGTAAATGGTAATATTTTCTGAAGGCACTAAGGGAATTTTTACCATGAGGGTAAATACCAATTAGCTATTATCTCCTTTTAGTAGGAGTGTAGCACAAAGAACTTCTGATTGACTGCTTTTCAGGGGCAGGGATAATTTGTTTGCTTGTTTATGTATTTATTTATGATTTTAGTCAGATTGCATTCTAAGACTTCAGCAAGATTTCAACGAACATTTTCCTATTTTTTCTTTTTCTTTCTTTCTTTCTTTTTTTGAGACAGAGTCTGGCTCTGTCGCCCAGGCTGGAGTGCAGTGGTGCGACCTCGGCTCACTGCAAGCTCCACCTCCCAGGTTCACGCCATTCTCCTGCCTCAGCCTCCCGAGTAGCTGGGACTACAGGTGCCCACCACCACGCCCGGCTAATTTTTTGTATTTTTTTTTTTTAAGTAGAGATGGGGCTTCACCTTGTTGGCCAGGATGGTCTCAATCTCCTGACCTTGTGATCTGCCCACCTCGGCCTCCCAAACATTTTCCTATTTAAGCCTTGCCATTGAAAATTTTCTGTCTTTAAGTCCCACATAACAACTGCAGCCTGTAACATCTTGTTGACTGGCTTGACAGAAGATGGCCAATTTTTGTGTTTAGGCTCAGATGTGCAGTGCTGGGTTCTCAAATTGTGTCCCAGCCTGGGACAGTGTGGCTTTAATAACATCCTCATTATCCATCCTTTATATAAAAAAACCTTATATCTGTATGCAAAGCCATGGGCTCTTAAGATTTTGAGTGCATCATACATGCTACAGGCAGCAGAAGATATATGAAGGATGTGCTTTCAGGCCAATCCCTGCCTAGTGTAGGCCCAGGTGGTATAATGCCTCATAACACACCCCATTCCCTGGGCAAAGACATTGTGAATGGTGGGATTAGTATCCTCCTGTGACATGTGACATCCTCCTGTGACCTACTCACTATGATTTGGATGGTTCCCCTCAAATTTGGGCTAGAGTGTCAGTGAGTGGATTAACTCAGGACAATTCCAGTTCTTTCCATGTACCTTCCTTTCATCATGAGGGATATGAAGAAAACATTAGATCATGTTGGATGCTGTTTGTCTGTTGGTTGGTTGGTTGGTTGGGTTTAACAATAAGAGCACGTATCTAGTCTTCTAGTTTTGTAAGGCTGCCATAATAATTTACATCCAAGCTGGTGACTTAAAACAACAGATATTTATTCTCTCACAGTTGTAGAAACCAGAAGTTTGGAATCAAAGTGTCAGAGGACCATGTTCCTTCCAAAAGCCCTAGGGAAAAAATTTAATTCTTCCTTGCCTCTTCCAGCTTTTGGTGGCCCCAGGCATTGCTTGACTGATGGCAGCATAACTCCAGTCTCTACTTTTGTCTTCATATGTCATTATTCCCTATGTTTCTTTGTATTCTCCTTTTCTGTCTCTTATAAGGACACTCATTGGTGGATTTCATGCTTATCTCAATCCAGCATGACCTCAAATTGAGATGCTAACCTTAATTACATCTACAAAGATTCTTATGCCAAATAAAGTTACATTCTGAGATTCCAGTTGAACATATCTTTGGAGATCCACTGTTGAACCTACTATGCCTAAAAACTCAGGCCTGTCCCAAGGGCAGATTTAAAAAGACAGAGAAATTCATTTTGCTTTCTGATTTTGAGATTGTTCCTCTTACCCCTACTCCATTTTCAACACCTGAACTTTATCAAGAAAACTCAAAGACAAAATGTGGCCAAGGTTGGCAATAAATACATTTTTGCCAATAATCTGATGGGAAACGTATGTTACTTCTTGTAAATCAAAATAAATTGGATCTGCTGGCAATCTGGTTAACCTGCAATTTAGATTATGACAATGGTGTTCTTATTTTATGCATTTTCACATGCTCCAAATCTCCTTCTGTATCTCTTTCTAAAATTTTGCTGAGAGTCCATCTTTTCTGACCAAAGGTGATTTCATTCTCCACTAAAGTAGTTGTTAAAAATATCTTCTGGTAGATAAGGAAAAAGTGGCTCATGTATACCACTGGAATTCTACACAGCCATAAAAAAGAACCAAATTAGGTTATTTGCAGCAAAATGGATGCATATGGAGGCCATTATCCTAAGCAAGATAACATGGAAATAGAACCAAATACTGCATGTTCTCACTTATAAGCAGGAGCTAACTATTGTGTATTCATGGTCATAATGGTGGAAAGGATAGTCACTGCGGACTACTAGAGGATGGAAAGAGGGTGAGAGGCAAGGGCCAAAAAACTATTTTTTGGATCTTATGCCCACTACCTCGGTGAAAGATTGATTCATACTCTAAACCTCAACATCACTCAATATACCTTTGCAGCTAACCTGCATGCATACCCCCAATTCTAAAATAAAAGTTGAAAAAAAAAAGCTTAGAAAAGAATTGAAGGAAATACAAAAATAAGTTACCACGACTACCTCTTGATGGTGAGTATGGGTAATTTTTGTTGGTTTATATTGACCCCTTATTTAGCAAAATTCCTGAAATGATCACATTAATGGGAAAATATAGTTTTCAGTTCCTAGAAAGGTTTGCTTGGTTTATGTTTAAAAACAAATGATTCAACGGCTCTTTTCACAGACTTGATGGTGATTTGGGAGAAAATCCAGAAATTGGTGACCTATCATGAGTTCATAATTAGGCCCATTATTTCTGATAAAACATTTCAGTAGCATTAAAATGCTAAGCTGAACTAAGATGTTCATGAAATGTATTCAAATAAACAAACCCAATTTAAAGATGATTGTATAAAAATATCTTACTTGATAATATAAATGCAAAATTTGTGAATGTTTATTTATAGTTCCTGTAATTTGGGGAAATTAAAGTCACTTGGGAACAATATTTACTTCACTAGCAACCAAAGGAGTACGATTGAAAAATAATGACTTGAAAATAAAATAAAAGTAAAAAAGGACTTCATTTCTTTTCACACAGTCTGAAAGAGTGAGTGCACAAGCTTTTCTCTGCCCAACTCCTCTTTGTCCACAAGGAATTTTCAGAATTCCTCCGTGTCTGTCTTATAATTTCATTCCTTGCTCATATAAGCAAGTTGGTTCAGAAACCCTAAGACTGTTATACCATCAGTTGGGTTAGTTTAAAATAACCCCTATGAGCAGTTCAACACTGAATTGGCAATGCTTTGGAAAGCAGAGACCCTGTCAGCTAACCAGCCATCTTTTAAAATCAATTCATATTTTCACAGTCCCTGGGGATTGTTTCACAAGGCTAAAATTTCGCTGTTGGAACAGGGTTGCTTGAAGATAACAGGGACACTTGAAGGTAAGGATGTCAATATTTTGCTGTTTCTGAATGTCATTCATTCAGAGATGGCTTAAGACATTTGCAATTCCTTCAAAGATGGCATAAGAAATTTGGATTTTCAAACTTTAGTTTTCTCATCTTAGAGTTTGAAGTAATTTTATTTGTCAGCTGCCAGAAAATAAAAAGAACACATAAGGTAGCAGACTAATATCTACATTGACCTACTGTAGAGCCAGAAGGACCCATTTATTTAGCAAGAGACTTCTTTACTGTGTCTAGTTCAGGTTCCCGGAAAGATGGGACAATTCGTAGTAACACTCATTCCTTCTGCTAAGGGTCATGAGATAGGTTTAGACATATGGTCCCATTTTGATGATGTTTTAAACTTTGTTTATTTTACATACCCTGTGATAGAGCCAATCAATGTAGGGGCCTAAACGTCGGTATAGCCTGTAATTTTGACAGATGCCCAGATTGTGGTATTGACAAATAGGACAGATGTCCCGAGGGGCATATGTGTAGAAATAGATGACATTTCACAGAGAATTTACTAATTCAATATAAAGCTGAAACAACATGTGGTAGTAGTTGAACCCATATATAGAATACATTTGGGGAAATTTTTCTCACATATTTGACGTGGTGCCCAGAACTATATGATGTGAAGAGTAATTGTGTGTTTTGTATGGGAACACATTAGTAAAACCTCATGCAAATCAAAATCAATCCAGATGAAAAATAATTAATAACGGTGTTTACAAACTCAAATAATACCTGCACAAGGCAATGGCATAAACAAAGTTTACAATGCCTCCAGATGGCAATATTTGAAAGGTGATTTTGAGTTTTACACACAAATCGAGAATTTACTCATATAACATATGGAGCTAAGTAAAATCCGTATAATTCAAATTAGCTTACATTGTAACTAAATGGAATAGAAAAGGAGTTCCTGTTCATTTTACCACTTTCAGAATAGAAAATTCTGGATCTGGTGAAAATTGATCATTTTCCTTTTGTTTTAATTCAAGGTATAGACTCATGTCTAAAGACATGGTTAACTGTTTAAGGAGAATAGAAGATGAAGAAGGGTTAAATGACAAGCAAGTTTTAAAAGTCTGATATCAACTAATTTTTAGGCAAGGAAGATTTAAAAATTTCACTGTGATTTGAGTGAGAGGCCCCTTACTTTTTATATCACATTGTAAGTTTAAAGAAGAAGAGAATAAAAACATCATGGCTAAATCACCTGAAATGACTTCAAATTTTCTACAAATGATAAACATATCCAATGTGATAATTATAATTCAAGGCCCATTTTAATCTGACCCTAAATTTTCCTTCCCATTCTAATAATCAATAAGCTAATCAATAAGCTCATAACATCCTACAGATTCTGCACACACACATGCACACACACACAGAGAAACACAGTCACTTCTTCAAACACATTGTTTTTTCATTTTTCTTCGCCTTTCATCTATTTATTTATTAGAGTGCCCACCTCCAAGGTAAGAGGGTTATTGAGATAATTTTATAAATATCATGGGGCTTGCCCTCATAAAGTCTATATTCCAGAAAGGAAGTTGAGAAGAAACAACCAATGGTTCAATTACTTATTAAAATTAGTTTTGATCATTATCTCTCTATCCACTGTTAACCTACTTATAATCTTCTTTGCTCTTTACCATGTTTAATGAACTCTTAGACTTTTCTTTTAACTTTTATTTTAAGTTCACAAGTACAAGTGCAGGTTTGATACATTGGTAAATTTGTGTCTTGGGGGTTTATTGTACAGATTATTTCATCACCCTGGTATTAAGCCTAATACCCATTAGTTATTTTTCCTGATCCTCTCCCTCTACCCTCTAGCCTGTGAAAAGCCCCATGGATGTTGTTACCCTCTGTGTCCATGTGTGCTCATCATTTAGCTCCCACTTATAAGTGAGAACATGTGGTATTTGGTTTTCTGTCTCTACATTAGTTGGCTAAGGATAATGGCCTCCAGCTCCATAATGTCCCTAAAAAGGACATGATCTCATTCTTTTTACGGCTGCATAGTATTCCATGATGAATATGTACCATATTTTCTTTATCCAGTCTATCACTGATGGGCATTTAGATTGATTCCATGTCTTTGCTTTGTGAATAGTACTGCAATGAAGATATGCATGCATGTGTCTTTATAATAGAGTAATTTATATTCCTTTGGGTATTGATAAGGTTTGGCTGTTACCCCACCCAAATCTCATCTTGAATTATAGCTCCCGTAATTCCCATGTGTCATGAGAGGGACCCAGTGGGAGATAATTGAATCATGGGGGCAGGTCTTTCCCATGCTCTTCTCCTGATAGGGAATAGATCTCATGAGATCCGATGGTTTTATAAATGGGAGTTGCCCTGCACAAGTTAACAAGTTCTCTCTTGCCTGCCTCCATGTAAGATGTGACTTTGATCCTCATTCTCTTTCTGCCATGATTGTGAGGTCTCCCCAGCCATGTGGAACTGTGAGTCCATTAAACCTCTTTTCTTTATAATTTACCCAGTCTCAGATACATCTTTATTAACAGCATAAGAACAGACTAGTACAGGTAATGGGATTACTGGGTTGAGTGGTATTCCTTTCTTTAGGTCTTTGAAGAATCACCACCCTGTCTTCCACAATGGATGAACTAATTTACACTCCCACCAACTGTGTATAAGCATCCCTTTTTCTCTACAACCTTGCCAGCGTCTTTCATTTTTTTATTTTTGATAATAGCCATTCTGACTGGTGTTAGTATCTCATTGTGGTTTTGATTTGCATTTCTCAGAGTCTAAAATCTAGAATTAAAACTTTTAACTTGGTGAGCCTATGTTGAATGACTACAGAGAACCTAGATAAGCAATTTTCGTTTGCATTTTATCCAAAACAGGTGGCAAGAAGAAAAGTTTAAGAATTTCAAGTGGCTTGATTGGACTCTTCTTCATGGTCGCTGAGTCAAGGACCTTCTCTTCTAGTGAATTTAAGGGTTTTGTGGAACACTAGTCTTTCTTTATGAACTCTGTCCTCTTTTCTCATACAATTTATCTTTTCCACATATGGATGGAAAAAAACTGCAGAAAATATAATGAAATGGATAACCATATATTTTTTAAAATAGAAATTTTTGAGTATTGACATTCAAGGTTTTAATTCTAGATTTAAAAATACATTTTATTTACACACTCATCAGTTAATGGACGCTTGAATTATTTTCACTTTTGGTCTATTATGAATAATGCTACTATGAACATTAATGTATAAGTATTTGTGTGAACAAATAGAACAGACATGGTCAGTTCTCTTGGGTATATTCGTACAAGTAGAATTTCTGGGTCATATGGCAGCTCTATGTTTGATTTTATGCAGAATTTCTAAACTGTTTTTCAAAGAAACTGTTTTACATTCTGAGAAGCAATGTATGAGAGTTCTAATTCTTTTACATCCTCAACAACACTTGTTATTATCTGTCTTTTTTATTATAGTTATTCTGGTATTTGTGAAGTTTCATCTCATTATGATTGTGATTTGCATTTCCCTAATGGCTAATAACAGTCAGCATATTTTCATGTGCCTATTGGCCACTTGTATATCTTCCTTGGCATAAAGTCTTTCAAATTACTTGCTCATTTTTTAATTGAGTTATTTGTCTTTTGATTTTTTAGTTGCAACAGTTCTTTATATATTATGCATAAGTCCTTATCAGACATACAATGTGAAAATATTTTGGTTCCTGCTATACATTGGTTTTCCCCTTTATAAGTTGTGTATTTTGTAGATCAAAAGCCTTTAATTTTAATGAAGTCCAATTTAACAATATTTTTCTCGTGTTGCTTGTGTTTTAAGTGTCATATTTTTTGTTAAGTGTCATAGGTTTTTTAATATGAATGAGTGTTGGATTTTCTCCAAAGATTTTTCTACAACTATTGTCATGATAATCCTTTTTGATCCTTTATTTTATTAATATACATATTTTATTAATTGATTTTCCATTGTTGAAGCATATTTGTGTATCTGGGATAAATCCTACTTGGTCATGTTGTGTAATCCTATTTAAAGTTATTGGGTTTAGTTTGCTAGTATTTGATTGAGGATTTTTTTTCTTTGCTTTGTATTTATAAGGAATATCAGAGTTTTTTCCAATATTTATTTTAGATTCATGGGGCATATGTGCTGCTTTGTTACTTGGATATATTGTCTGATGCTAAGGTTTGGGGTATAAGTGATCCCATTTACCAAGGTACTAAACATAGTACACAAAAGCAGGTTTTTCAACCCTTGCCTCTACTCCTCCTTCACTCCACCTGCTAGCTGTACCCAGTGTCTATTGTTGCCATCTTTATGTTTATGAGTACCTAATATTTAGCTCCAATTTATAATTGAGAAAAGACTGTATTTAGTTTTCTGTTACTGCATTAATCTGCTTAGGATAATGGCCTCCAGCTACATCTGTGTTGCTGCAAAGGACATGATTTTGTTCTTTTTATGGCTGTGTAGTGTTCCATCATGTATATTTGCCATGTTTTCTTTATCCATTCCACCATTAATGGGCACCTAGGTTGATTTCATGGCTGCTATTGTGAATAGGACTGCGAAGCACATATGAGAGCCTATGTATTCTTGCTAAAACAATTTGTTTTCTTTTAGATACATAACCAGTAATGGGATTGCTGGGTCAAATTGTAGTTCCCTTTTAAAGTCTTTAAAAAAGCTCCAAACTACTTTCCACAGTGGCTGAACTAATTTAGATTTCCACTGAAAGTGTGCAAGCATTCCCTTTTCTCCATAGCCTTGCCAGCATCTGTTATTTTTTGATGTTTTAATAATATCCATTCTGACTGATGTGAGATGGAACCTCATTGCAGTGATTTGCATTTCTCTGATGATTAGTGATGTGGAGAATTTTTTATATGTTTGTAAACCACTTTTATGTCTTCTTCTGAGAGGTGTCTATTCATGTCTTTTGTTCACTTGTATTCATGTTATTTGTTTTATGCTTATTAATTTGTTTAATTTTCTTATAGATTTGGGGTATTGGGACGTTTATTGGAAGTGTAGTTTGTGAGTATTTTATCTCATTCTGTAGGTTGCCTGTTTTCTCTGTTGATAATTTCTTTTGCTGTGTAGAGCTCTTTAATTTAATTAGATCCCACTTGTCAATTTTTGTTTTGGTTGCAATTGCTTTTGAGGACTTAGTCATAAATTATTTCCCAAGGCCAGTGTCCAGAATGGCGTTTCCTAGGATTCTTGTAGTTTGAGGTCTTGTGTTTAAATCTTTAATCCAACCTCAGTTAATTTTTTTATATGGTGAATGGTGGGGTTGAGTTTTATTCTTCTACATATGGCTACCCAACTAGCCCACACCATTTATTGAATACGGAGTAGTCTTTTCCCTGTTGGTTATTTTTCTTAACTTTGTTAAAGATCAGATATCTGTAGGTGTGCAGCTTTATTTCTGGGTTCTCTGTTCCGTTCCATTGGTCTATGTGTCTGTTTTTGTACCAGTACCATGCTGTTCTGGCACCAGTACCATGCTATTTTGGTTACCGTCACCTGATAGTATATTTGGAAGTCAGCAAACATGATGCCTCTGGCTTTGTTCTTTGTGATTAAGATTACTTTGGCTATTTTGGCTGTTTGGAGTTTCATATGAATTATTAAATAGTTTTTTTCTGGTTGTATAGAAAAAAAACGACATGGTAGTTTGGAACTTCCTAGAGACTTATTGAATGGCTCTGACCAAAATACTGATAGTGATATGGACAATAAAGTCCAGGCTGAAGTGGTCTCAGATAGAGATGAGGAACTTGTTGGGAACTGAAGCAAAGGTGACTCTTGTTATACTTTAGCAAAGAGACTGGCAACATTTTTCCCCTGCCCTAAAGATTTGTGGAACTTTGAACTTGAGAGAGATGATTTAGGGCATCTGGTGCAATAAATTTCTAAGGAGCAAAGCATTCAAGAAGTGACTTGGGTACTGTTAAAAACATTCAGTTTTATTTATTCAGAAAGGTATGGTTTGGAGTTGAAATTTATGTTTAAAAGGGAAGCAGATCATACAAGTTTGGTAAATTTGTAGCCTGATGATATGTTAGAAAAGAAAAACCCATTTTCTGAGGAGAAATTCAAGCTGGCTGCAGAAATTTGCATAAACAATAAGGAGTCAAATGTTAATCATGAAGACAATGGGGAAAATATCTCCAGGGCATGTCAGAGGTCTTTATGGCAGCCCCTCCCATCACAGGCCCAGAGGCCTAGGAGGAAAAATGGCTTCATAGTTTGGGTCCAGGGCCTTGCTGCTTTGAGCACTCTCCAAACTTGCTCCCCTGCATCCCAGCTGTGGCTAAGAGGAGCCAGTGTATAGATCAGGTCATTGCTTCAGAGGGTGAAAGTCTCAAGCCTTGGCAGCTTACATGTGGCATTGGGCCTCCAGGTACACAGAAATCAAGAATTGAGATATGAGAACCTCCACATAGATTTCAGAGAATTTGTGGAAATGTCTGGATGTCCAGGCAGAGGTGTGCTGCAGGGGCAGAGTCCTCATGGAAAACTTCTGTTAGCGCAGAGTGGAAGGGAAATGTGGAGTCAAGCACCCTCTGGGGCACTGCCTGGTGGAGCTGTGGGAAGAGGGCCACCATCGTCCGGACTCCAGAATGGTAGATCCACTGACAACATGCACCATGCACCTGGAAAAGCTGCAGACACTCAATGCCAGCTCATGAAAGCAGCCAGAAAGGGAGCTGTACCCTGTAAAGACACAGGGGCAGAGCTGCCCAAGGTCATGGGCGCCTACCTCTTGCATCAGTGAGACCTCGATGTGAGACATGAAGACAAAGGAGATCATTTTGGAGCTTTAAGATTTGACTGCTCTGCTGGATTTTGGATTTCTATGGGGCCTGTAGCCTCTTCATTTTGCCAATTTTTCCCGTCTGGAATGGCTGTATTTACGCAATGCCTGTATCTCCATTGTATCTAGGAAGTAACTAACTTGCTTTTGATTTTACAGGCTCATAGGCAGAAGGGACTTGCCTTGTCTTAGATGAGACTTTGGACTGTGGACTTTTGAGTTAATGCTGAAATGAGTTAAGATTTTGGAGGACTGTTGGGAAAGCATGATTGGTTTTGAAATATGAGGATATGAGATTTGGGAGGGGCCATGGGTGGAATGATATGATTTGCCTGTGTCCCCACTCAGATCTCATCCAGAATTTTAGCTCTCACAATCCCCATGTGTTGTGGGAGGAACCCAGTGGGAGGTAATTGAATCATGGAGGTGGGTCTTTCCCATGCTGTTCTTGTGATAGTAAATAAGTCTCATGACTCATGAGGTCTGATGGCTTGATAAAGGGGAGTTCCCCTGCACACACTCTTTCTTGCCTGCTGCCATGTAAGACGTGTTTGCTTCTCCTTTGCTTTCCACCATGATTGTGAGGCCTCCCCAGCCATGTGGATCTGTGAGTCAATTAAACCTCTTTCCTTTATAAATTACCCAGTCCCAAGTATGTCTTTATTAGCAGCCTGAGAACAGACTAATACAACAGGATTGTGGGAAGTTCTCCAGGCATTGAGAACACCCACCTTCCTGAATTAGGAGTAGGGAAACCAACTGCACCAAGATCTCTGCACAGAAGAGGTGGGGTGATTCAGGCTGCTGAACCAGGCAAGCAGAAGCTTGGAATGCCTGGAGATCTACCTGAGCATGTAGCAGCAAAGGCCCCTGCACCAAGACCTCTAACCAGGAAGAGTGGGGCATATCAAGCTGCTGATCCAGGCAAGTTGGTGCTCTGAATGTCTGGAGGTCTGCCTGAGTGTGGAGTAGAGAGGGCCATTCTGTACCATGATCTACGTCCAGGAAGGTTGGGTGGCTCCGGCTGCTGAACCAGAAGAACAGGTGCTTTAACTGCCTGGAGATCTGCCCAGGCATGAAGCAGAGAAGGCCTCCCTGCACCAGTAGCTCTGAACGGAAAGAATAGTGGTGAGTCAGGCTGCTGATTCAAGTGAGTAAATGTCTGGAGGCCTGCCTGGGTATGGAGCAGAGAAAGCCCCACTGCACCAGGATCTCTGTACAGGAAGGGTGGAGCAGGTTAGGCTCTGAACCCAGTGAACAGATGCTCCTAATGCCTGGAGATCTGCCTTGCCATAAAGTGTAGGGGGCTGCTCTGCACCACAATCTATGTTCATGAAGAGTTGAGTGGCTAAGGCTGCTAGTCCAGGAAAGCGGCTGCGCCAAATGCCTGAATTTTTGCCTGGGGTTTGAGCAGAGGACCTCACTGCACTATTATCTTGGTAGAGCAGATGGAGACATCTAGAAATGGCACACACAGACCAATTCCAGGTCACTAGGCTGGCCTTGGCTGCAAATCTCACCATCCAGAAGAAACTGCAGCTGTAGCAGCACTCCTCCTGCCCCAGGCTTGTGACAAGGGAAAGCACAATTTCAGTGTCCGCTCTGGATGTGCTTTCCATAGCTCTGGTTGTGGAGGCCCTTATCCCACTCTAGAGCAGGCCCCCCCAATCTCTGCCTCAAGAATAAAATTCCTGAGTGGTCATGCTGCCAAGTTGCCAAAGAATGCCTGACTTTGTATGCCTGGATTAAAAATGGTATGCTGTTCTTGGTCCCAGGTCTGGGAAAATGTCTGCAGCTTTTCCCAGTGTCTTTCCCTCACAACATCTCCAAGCCTCTCCCCATGCTGGCTCTAGGGCTTGGGAGAAAGACAGTGCTGTTTCTCGACCTGGGTCGCTTGAGTTCCCACTGGAAAAATGAGTCACATAGGGAGGATCTCTGCTTCTCTCATATCCTCCTGGAGCTTCAATCATGTTTACCAGACAGATACCATCATGGGGACTGTCTGTCAGTGTTCTTTCTCCTCCACAAGATCTGGAGTGCCCTTCACAATTCTGATGGTTTCCCATTTTCTTCTTGAATTAAAGCTCACAGAGTTGATCTTTATGCACTATTTTACTACTTCCAAGTGGCTGAGGCATCATAAAAGCCTCTAATCTGCCGCCTTGGGAAAAAAAAATAGGGATTCTTAATTTGTTTTACTTGTGACGTATTTGTCTGGTTTTACTAGTCTTATAAAAAGAGTTGGAAAATAATCCCTCCTGTTCTATTTTTTGAGTGTGTTTGTGAAGAATTAGTGTAAACTCTTCTAAACATTTGGTAGAATGTATCAGTAAAGCCATCTATTGTAGGGATTATGTGTGTATTGGTGGAGGGAAGTTTTATATTGCCTACTTTATTTCTTCCTTCATGTATTTTGGGATTCTCTTGATAGATGCATATGTGCTTATTGTTATGTTTTCTTGATGTATTAATCCTTTCTATAATTGTAAAATGCTCTTTCTCACTAATCACAATTTATCTCTTGAAGTTTGTTTTGTGTGTTATTATGACCAGGTCTCTTTTGATTACTGTTTGAATGATTTATCTTATTCAGTCATTTGTATTCAAACTGTTTGTGTCTTTGAATATAAAGTGTGTCTGCTGAATAAAACAGATAGTTGGATTATGTTTTTTCTAAACCCATCTGCAAACTCTATTTTAAATGGAGTTTTTAATCTATATACATTTAATGTAATTACTGATATATAGAATTTATGTTTGCCAGTTTACCAGTTGTTTTCTATATGTCTTCTGCTTTTTTATTTCTCTATTTTTCTAAGATTGCCTTTTCTTTAGTCAATAGATATTTTTAATGCACTGTATTAATCCCCTTATCACTGATTTTATTATAGTTTGTAAGTTATTTTCTTAGGGTTGCCTGATGGGCTACAAGTAGTATCTTAATTTTTGAAAATCTAGTTAGATTTACTATCAACTTAATTTTAATAGCATACAAAAATTTTGATTCTAAATAGCATTGTTCTCTCCTTCTTCCTTTGTTGTATTACTATACATATTACATCTTTATTCAATGTATGAATTCATTGTATTCATCTTTATTCATTACATCTTTATTCATTGTATTACTTATAACCATTGCTTTATGCAGTTTATTTTTGAATCAGGTAGGAGAAAAGAAAATAGTTACAAAAAATACATTTACATTGTCTTTCATATATTTCTAATTTTTGCTTTTTCTATTGTTCTGCATTTGTTTATATGGACTCTAGATATTGTCAAGTGTAATTTTATTTCATATTGAAATACCTCTTTTAATATTTCTTGCATGGAAACTTTGCTAGTAAGAGATTCTGTCAGTTTTGGTTTCAGAGAATAAGTGAGAATATTTTCACTTCTTTTTCATTTTTGAAGTATAGTTTTGTTGGTTATGAAATTATTCGTTGATAGTCATTTACTTTCAAAACTTTAAAAATGTCATCTCACTGCCTCTGGTTTCCATGGTTTCTAATGAAAAATCAGTGAAAAATTATTCAGACTCTTTTGCACATGATGAGTTGCTCCTCTCTTTTTGTTTTCAGATTCTTTCTTTGTCATTTTCTTTTGATTGTTTAATTATAATTTTTTAAAAATGTGAATCTCTTTGAGTTTATCCTACTTGGGAGTCATAGATCTTTTTGGATGTGCAAGTTAATATTCTTTGTCAAATTTTGGAAGTTTTTAAGTATGTTTTGTATTGTTCTTCACATATTTTTATGCCCCATTTCTCTTCTGTTCCCTCTCCCTTTGGGACTTCCATTATACATATTTTGCTATGCTTGATGATATCTCTGAGTCTGTCCATTTGTCTTTATTTCTTTTTCCTTCTGTTTCTTGCATTAGATAATCTCATTGACCTATATTTAAGTTAGCTAACTCTTTTCCCTGCTTTCTAAAATCTGCTGTTAAGTCACTCTAGTACATTTTTATACAGTTATTATACATTTTAATTCTGTAATTAATATATATTTATACAATTGCTTATTAGTATTATTTATTTGGTGAGACATTTATTCTCAAATGTTCCTTTAGCTTTTTAGAAATAGCTTATTTTAGTTATTAAACAAATTTTCATCATGGTGGATTTAAAAACCTTTGTCTACTAAGCCAAACACCTGAGCTTTCTCATGGACAGTTTTATTGATTGCGTGTTTTTCCTGTGTGTGAGCCATATTGTCTTACTTTTTGTATGCCTAATAAATTTTTGTTGAAAACTGAACATTTTAAATAATAAAAATGTGACAACTCTGAAAATTATATTTTAGTCCCTTCAAATTTTGTTGATTTTGCCATTTGTTTTTGTCATTTGTTTCTTTAGTGACTTTTCTGAACTAATTGTCTAAAGTTTTTGTTTGTCATCATGTTTGAACACTGAAGTCTCTGTTTGCTTAACTTAGTAGTCAGTGAAAGAATAGACAGAAATTTCATTAAAGACCTGGAGCCCATAACTCTTCCGGTCTCTGCTGAGTGGCTCTGTGTGCATTTCAGGGCACACCTTCAACACCCAGCCGGTAGGTTGACAACTCTGCCTTAGTCTTCACATTCTGCTTTCCCATAGCTTCATGGTCATCTGGAGGTGAAAGCTTAGGGCCTTCTCATATTTTTCTTGAGAATAAGCATTGTGCTTAGAATGTGCACAATCATACGTGTGTGACCTTCTATAGTGCCAGTAATATGTCAGAAGTCTTCAAAACTCCTATTTATATTTCCTAGCTTTTTAAGTTTTCAAGCTACCATATTATTTGCCTTAACTGTTATCTACCACTTTAGTCTACCATGATTTTAAAAAGTTGCCTTTCAATGTTTTCAATAAGTATGCTAGTTAAAAAGACTTTCATGGGCCAGTTACAAATGAGGTCAAATAAAGACAGTTTTATAAGTTGTATCTTGCAGGAAGCCACGTTCCAGGTCAAACAATAATTCTCAGGGAACTAAGCTGAAGGCTGCCAGATTGCTAGTAGTCAGCGATTGAGGGATGTTTATTTTCAAGGTAACTGTATAACTTGAGAGAGGGTGATGAGAATAAGCAGCCTAAAATACCACCAAGCTTACAGTTCTTACCATAATTTAACCTTTCTTTCTCTTTTGGTTCTTTGTTTATTAAATAAATTATTTTTAGATCCCTCAAAGCATTTGGCTAATTTCCAGAGTTTTAAAAGAGCTGATTCTGATTATTTTTGCACATTTTTAATTGTTTATGTGGGGGAGATAATTTGCATATGCCCTCACATCATCATTTGTATTGCTATCACTCTTCTTCTTCATATTATGGTCAAATGTAATATCACTAGAAATAAAAATATTTTCATGAGCACTTGCTAAGATCAAGATTCAGCCTTAAACTTGACCTTTTCAGAAATGCTTTTCAATATTCAGAAGGCAGTGATTCCTTCCTAAATAACACAATGTAGCTGTAAACAATTGGATCCGTTTCCTTTCCTTACCCATTTCATTCAACAAATGTCATTTCCCTCAACTCCCTTATGATTTAGAATTATCTGACTCCTGTGGTCATCTTCTTTCTGAGGGTTAGCAATCATGAAATAACTTCTAAGCATATAAGTTTTTAGAAATTCATTTACATGATGTATAGTAGGCACACCATCTTTCATGGAATTGAAACAGGATTCCTTTTTATCTCAAACCTGCAGGTTGTTGGTAAGCATGTAAGTGATACTTTTCACTTTGGCTACATCACACCATTCTAAATTCATATCTTTTCAAGTGCTATTATTTCTGACATTTCAAGCTGTAAACCTAGAAAGGCAGTACTCAGATGTCCACTTTGTGGATTTTGTATTTTTCTACGTGATAGGCCTATGTAATAATATAGTTTTCCCTTTCAGGCACTTTGAATAATTTAAAGCAAATTATTTTCATGGAAAACTGGTCCATGTTTGAGTCCTCAAATGCTTACACTAGGAGGGAAGTAACCTTTTCAGATGAGTGTCTGTTTTACTACATTTCCGCAAGAAACATCAAATTTCATATTTCACTATTTTTAAACTAGAGAAACCTAGGAAATTGTTATTTTCCAAGAACAATATGATGCTGACTTTCCCCTTCTCCCTTTGCCAAACAGTGTGATAGAATTTTCTGTCATTCTCACAAGAATTAATAATTAATTATTCTATTACTGTTTCAAAATAAAAATTCTCTGCCCCTATCTCCACAAAATTTGTCACTTTGCCACCACCAGCACTATGATGACTGAGAATAATCAGAGCATAATTTGATTCCTATAATGTTAATAGAAGCCGACTAAATGGACATCATTTATTTGGTAAGTGTTAGAGTGTAAGCTCCATGTAGACAGTTTTTTTATCTGTTTTTTTCAGTGTCAGATACCAAGACTTGAGCACAGTTTCTGATGTATACTCAGTGCTAAATAGCGTGTTGAATGAAGGGGTGAATGACTCCTGTGCTCAAATTCTATTTGATTAATTCAAACATAATCTGCTTCTTGTGCACAGGATGAAATTATCCTAACTCTGTATTTTTAATTATAATAATAGCAATATGAAATATATCTGTATAATTTTATAAAATTCACAAAATCATTTACAAACCACATTTTCTCACCTAAGACTCTAAACAGAGCAAGGCCTTATTATCATAATTTTATTGATAATCACATTTAGACTAGGAGAAATTGAGTGTGATTTATCCAAGAGTCACAGAGTGAGAAAATATCAAGAGGAGGTTTCAAACTCAGGGCTTATGACTTCTGAGTCTTTATGTATTTCACTACATCCATGCATTGTATATAGTATTTTTCAAAGTTTGCAAAGCAATGCCCCTTATTTACCTTATGTGATTCTTTTGTTTCTCCCCTTCCCCAACTTTGGAGATAAGCAGGGTTTTGTTTATCTAATGCTACACAAAAAGTCACCCCCAAACTTGGAAACCAAAATAATTATTTATGGTAATGTGTGTTGACTGAGCTCAACTGGTTATTTCTCACTTGAGATATCTCCTGGAGTGTTGGTCAGATGGTAGCAGAATCTAGAGTCATCTGAAAGTTCAACTAGACTGGACAACCAAGAAAGTATCTTCATTCACATGTCTGACACCTCAGGTGGGATTGCTAAAAGAGCAGACACTATAGCTCTTTTTCTTTTTGTGGACTCTCCATATGGCTAGCTTGGGCTTCCTCAAACTTAGAGTCCTCAGAATGCTTGAACTTCATGTTCAGAAAGTTGGCTTCCTACAGACTACACATTCCTAGAGAAAAAGAAAAACGCCACATTCTATTGTTTACATAGGGCAAGCCCTCATTTATTTTGGTTAAAAACTATACAAAATGTGAATACTGGACAGCATGTTTCACTCAGGGCCATTTTTCAAAAGACAGCAGCACTCTACAATGGTGAACATACATATTGTAGAACTGAGTGGCCAATTTCTTTGCCTATAGCCTGGGTTTGACTCGCTTATGGGATTACCTTGGAAATCCAAGGTAAATCTCACTTAATTTCTCTTAGTTTCCATTCATTATTAAAGTATAGCAATTGCTACCTCATAAGGTTGTGTCACTTTTGAATTACATAATCAAAATAAATGAACTTTGCAAACTCTAAAGTGTTATCTATTTTTTTTTATTAATGGTGTCATGGGACATTGGCTGCTTCTCTTTGAAAATCAAACCTTTCTTCACTGGTACCTTCTTAATCCTCAGAGACGAGAAATTTGAAGTCAAAATGTATCATATGAACTGATCTTTCACCTCCACCACCATTTTATTCCACTGTTATATGTACTCAACAGACTTCTTACAGTTAAATTCATTTTCCAAAGCAGCCATTCTGACTAACCACTCCCTAATACTCTCTGTACCAAATATGTCTCAAGCCTGGTAAAAAATGGACCCTATAATTTTCCTGGACAACATTTCCTTATAAATTCAAATTTACCTAAAATTATCTCCTCCATAATTATTCCTTAAGCTTCTTTGAGATCAGTAGCTTCAAAGTAGGTGAAGTCTCAGTAACTCGAGCAGAAGATGTTACCTATTAAGCATCTAGCACTATCGCAGGAATTGGTTTTCACTCAATTGTTTAATTACCATCACTGTTCTCTCTCAATTAGGAAAAAATAAGGATACAAGAGAATAGAAAGTAGGGCAGTATCAGGTATTGTGTTGGAGAAAGGCAGAAAAATTGAGGAGCAATGAAGTGCATGTACGGAGAGTTACGCTGTGAAGATAGTACTTCAACAGTTTCCAACACGGTGCAAAAAGAACTTTTATGTTCTGAACCAATCTTAATGTTAAATGTAACCTTTATCTCTCACTCATTGCACTAAAAGAAATAGTTGAATTATAATTCTTCATTTGAAACAAATGATAATCGGAATGATTCAGTATAGGGGGAAACATAAGGGGGAACGCAGAAATCGTCATTTTCAGGAAAATGCTCTCTGGTAAGAGGATAGGATGTGGTGTGGTCTTTGCTAGAAATACTGACAGACCAGCCACTCTCAAAGGAAGGAAAGCAAAGAATGTGATTTCAGAGGCAGGTATGCTGATGGATTTGATGGTGGGAGCATCAGGAAATTCTCTTTTGGCTGCTTTCATTTTCCCTGTAAAATGAAAAACAAGAATATTAGCTGAGAGAGAAAGGGCAGAAAAATTTGGAGGTTTAAGAAGAGAGGTCAAAGTGTACCTCAGAAAGGTACATGTCCCAGATAGGACCCAAAAACTCTTTTAAGGGATTAGTATAAATGGTGGAAAAGAAAGAATTTTGCTTTTCTCAGATCTGGAATTGCATGCTATATTGGCCTGGAGCTGCTAACAGCCATCTTTCCAAACGTGTAGAAAAGTCAGACTGAAAACAAAGTCAACACGGAAAATAATAGAACAAATATAGAATGAGAGAGGCAAAATTCTTACATTACCATTGCAGGGCATGAGAGCAGCCAGGCTTGTACAGAGAGCACCCCCTGAGGTTTTCTACTACATGAGTGAATAAATTTCTTTGTTGATTAAGCTTGTTTGAATGTGTGTGTTTTTGTCAATTATAATCAAAAGAGTACTCATTACATCAGATAGTTAAGGAGTAGTGTTTTAAGTTTCAAATAATAAATTCTTAAAATGACCAGAAAAATAGTGTAACAAATTGATAGATTATCAAGATGGTTTTTAGAATTAGAAAACTGAGTTTGAATTTTGACTGCTCCATGTAATAAGATGTGTGAATTTTGGGCTTACTTAATCTCTCTGAGCTTCATATCGTCTATAAATTGAGTATAATGATAACATCTCCCATGTAAGTCCTGGGCAATATATCAACATTTTATACATATTATCTTCCCAATATTCCAATTCTCCAGTAGAGATGGTATTATTATCTTGCATTTACAAATGAGAAGAGTGAGACTTAGCAAGGTTAATAATCAGCCCAACATTCCACAACTAGTAAGGTGGTATTGAACCCGTGTTTCTATTACCTGAAACCTGGAGTGACCACAAAATCTCAATTCACCTGGGACTATTGTAGTCTGTGCCTATTGCACCTGCATTCCATCCAATTAGCACACTCTTTCACTTACAAAAAAAAAAATCTCGGATTTGACAATAGATTAGATGGTCACCGTTGAAGGTTGGGTTTTACAAGAAGCTGACTCTGAAGTCACAGATCAGCTTGCCAGAAGTTAATTGGGGAATACTTTCTGGATCTACACCTTAGTGGGTAAAAAAAAAAATCAAGATTGGCCAGGGGAAGAACAAAAGCCTCAGCAAACCCCACAGGGAACTTGGAAGCTGGAATGACACTTTGGAGTTGTTCCATTTGGAACAAGAGTTTCTGAGCCATGATATCACGGTATCATCCCACTCACCATATGAGGTCCAGCCCTAAGAAAGGGAGTGCTCTTCAACAAGATAGCACTCTTCAGCTGAGGACAATTTCTGGAGAAAGCTCACAGCTGAGAGTTTTATGCTGGCAGCACTCCCAGTAGCTGGAGAAAGAAGTTCTTCAGAAGGACTGGGCCACGTACATCTCTACCACAGCTGTAAACTTTCATTTCTCATGATTGACTTACTGCCTCTGGACAATAGTTTCTTTACAAAGTTGCTCTGAGTATTTTTTTTTTTTTTTGAGACGGAGTCTCACTCTGTCGCCCAGGCTGGAGTGCAGTGGCACGATCTTGGCTCACTGCAAGCTCCGCCTCCTGGGTTCACACCATTCTCCTGCCTCAGCCTCCCAAGTAGCTGGGACTACAGGCATCCGCCACCACACCCGGCTAACTTTTTGTATATTTAGTAGAGATGGGGTTTCACCGTGTTAGCCAGGATGGTCTCGATCTCCTGACCTCGTGATCCGCCTGCCTCAGCCTCCCAAAGTGTTAGGATTACAGGCGTGAGCCACCACGCCCAGCTGCTCTGAGTATTAATAAAAGCATGCTTATACTATGTTTAATAGTACCTGGTATATATTAATATATACTGATGTGTTTATACACACACCACACCTACTCCTATACATATAGATTCAATAAATGGCAACAATTATTTTTTTAAATGTTATGTATTATGTGTGATATATATTATAATAACATAAATATTATTATTGTAAAGTTACCACTTCAAAACGAGGAGTCTGAAATCATTGAAAAATAAGATTTATAAAATTTTGTTTGGAGTTTGTCTAACTTGAAAGATCGCCAAGAGCAGCCCAGCACAATGTCCTGATACATAAACTGTTAAAAATCCTGAAGCTTCCTGAGAGCCACATAGGCAGAAAGAATCTAGGTACAGGTCAGTGAAAGGAATCCCATATGAGAAGTGGTGGAGGAAGTGTGGGTTGGTGGAAGAGATGTATGGCTATTAACGTGCTATTGAAATCCACTAATTCTCATACTCAAAAGCCTTTGGGAAGAATAGAGGAAAATGTTTTTCCCCTATTTGCAATCTTCTTTAAGTACTAAGCCCATAATTGGGGTGGTTGTGGAAAAGGTGGATCTAGAACTCCATCAAACAACTTCCCTCTGGCCATTTCTGCATCCTCACTGTATTATTTGTTAATTCTACTCCTAAAATTGTGTGGAGGTTAACCAGGGCTTCAAACTAAACATATTAGTAGTAAAAGAGAGATTCCCTATTGAATTAATCTGATGTTATTACAGAAAAGACAATTCATTCCTCCAGGACTTGAAGTGCCTTTGAAGTGTGCACATGCATAGAAAATGTAGTGGTTAATTTTTCTAAGGTCAGCTTGGCTGGGCTAAGGAATGACCAAATAGCGGATAAAACATTATTTCTGGATGCGTCTGTGAAGGTGTCATTTTGATAGACTGAGTAAAGATTGCCCTCACCAATGTGGGTGGAGCTCATCCAATGCATTGAGGACCCAAACAGAACAAAAAAGCAGAGGAAGGGAGAACTGGCTGTCTCTGCTTGAGTTGGGACATCATCTTTTTCTTTCTTTGGACATCAGTTATTTGGTTCTCTGGACTTTGGACTCAAAATGGAATTTCTGCCATTGATTCCCCTGGTTCTCAGACCTTGAGGTTTGGACTGGCACTACACTACTTGCCTTCCTGGGCCTCTGGCTTGCAAACAGCAGTTGACGGGATTTCTCAGCCTCCAAAATCACATGACCAAATCCCTCATAATAATTATCTTTCTATATATTTTTATATAGTTATTGATTCTGTTTCTCTGGAGAACTCTGTCTAAAATAGATATTTGGAAATAGCAGGCAAAAATTTCAGAAACTCTTCCTAGTCAAAATACAAAGTAGACAATTAATTACCCTCATGCGGTAGTAGCATCCCGGGCAATATATTTTGCTAATGCAGCAAAATACAATTGTTAGTTGACTCACTCTAGCTCTAAGTCTATCTATCTATCTATATAATATACATGGTTTTTTTTGGTCTCTTTCAATTTTCTTATGCTGATCAAGACGATCAGAAGACTGGTTTTCAGACTATTGGTAACTACTACAAGTTTGAAATATTTAATTTGAGTTAATTCATATACCATTATGAGAAAGTTTGAGAGAAACCTAATGCTCAATTAACAAATAATTTAAATATTATTTCCAATTTATTACTTGATTCCCCAAGTCTTTCAGTGGCTGCCTTGGATAATAGGTATGCTTTGGAATGTACATGTGAGCTTTCAAAAGCAAAACAAAATGAATTATGACATTCTTTTATGAAGTAGAATTTCTGAGAGTAATTCAGTGTAAGTAAAATCAATATAAACATCTATATTATCCCTGATTGATGGGAAAAGGATAATATACTATCAAAACTACCTTGAAAGTAATCGTAAAGTGGATTTTCCACTCAGGATACCTTTTCACAGTTTTATTCCCTAGGAGAGAATGTTAGGTGCTATTAAACCTCATGAACCCTTGACCTTGGTTCATATAAAGACAGTGAGAACTGGCCCCAGTTATTAAAGAAATTAGGCATAGACACATTCTTGCTTTTATAGTAAGAAATAATAAGGTTTTCTTTCACTCTGGGGACAGGCTATTAAAGCTAAATATTACAATGTTTTTAAGGGAGAGAGTTCGTTTTGACAATCCAAGAGAAGTGTATGTTTTGCATAAATACATAATGTAGAGATTTGTGATTTTATAAAGATGACAAAAAGTAAAAACAAAGTAAGTCTGTTAAGAACATATGGAAGAATAAGAAACATTCCTGTTAGACCAGATTGTAAAAACAATTTAAATTATTAGACGGAGATTACATTTCATTTTATAAAGAGCAAAAATTAGATAGGTAATTGTCCTGTTATGAGTTATTTGAGAATGTTTTATATATTTAAATAATTCACTACCAATGATGGCATGAACAGAAATACAGATTACATTTACTGTCAATCTCTATTTGAGGAGGTTTAATTTTGTGATTGTGTCCGGAATTGGTGGGTTCTTGGTCTTGCTGACTTCAAGAATGATGCCGCGGACCTTCGCGGTGAGTGTTACAGTTCTTAAAGATGGTGTGTCTGGAGTCTGTTCCTTCATATTTTCAGATGTGTCCGGGGTTTCTTCTTTCTGGTGGGCTCATGGTCTCGCTGACTTCAGGAGTGAAGCTGCAGGCCTTAACGGTGAGTGTTACAGCTCTTAAAGGCGGCACATCTGGAGTTGTTCGTTCCTTCCGGTGGGTTCCTGGTCTCGCTGGCCTCAGGACTGAAACTGCAGACCTTCCAGGTGAGTGTTACAGTGTTACAGTTCATAAAGGTGGTGTCCAGAGTTGTTCATTCCTCCCATCCAGAGTTGCTCGACCCTGCCCGTGGGTTCATCTATTTTCTTGGAGGGAGAGAATTAAGTTACAAGGGAATGGTGAACCACAACAAATGAAAAGTTGTTTTGTGAGTAGTGTACCTTTGCATGGCTGTATTTCGAAAGGTTTGCCAAAAAAAAATGAAAAAGAATGCCAATTATTTTTCTCTGAAATTGTGCCTAATTATGTTATATGATATTAAATTAATGTTTAAAGAGAATACATAGTATGCAAAATACTTCACACTTCACACATGTCATTTTTAATTCAATTGTTTAAAAAAATAAGCACAATTGCCTCTGTTTCACCAATGATTAAAATAAGATGACCATAATCTATGGAAGCTGCCCAAAGAAAAACAATGATGGAGTCAGATATAAATGAGTCAGACTCCAAATCCCAATCACTTTTTCATAAAGTGTTTAGTAAGTATTTTTATCTAAAATGTAAGTGTGTGGCTATAAAAACGCCAACTATATAATAATTTGATTCTTGTTTCTATTTATTTGAAACCTAATTAGTGTATTTCCACAATATATAACATAATGCTAAAAAAGAAATTTGGTATTTTCAGTTTCCTTTAAATTTTCTGACCTGATTTTATTTTATAAACGATTTGCATTTACCAGAATGTTATAAACTCGGTAATTGTGTTTTGGTTCAGTGTTTTATACCTGCCATCTACATTACATAAAAATCATTTCTGTAAAAGGAAGCAGATGTTAATGAGCAAGCTACACAGAAATTTTCATCTCACACTTAACAATGGATATTATTGTTCTTATAATTTGCACTTCTCAGTCATAAGACATCCCTCTGTGGTTGTCATAATTGGTCTAATGAATTTCTTAAAATAAATGAAAGTCTAATTTGATCCGGTGCCCATGAACAATCCACTCATTCAAATCTAAATCACTGACCTGATTTGAAGACGAATCATGCCAAAATGAAGTCATGCTTTCCTATTAAGTGTGTTGCCTCAGTGCAAGCTTTTGAATGGCTTGTTCTTAAGGTTTGAAGTGGGGATTTCCAGTGACAAAGAAATACAATTTGATCTCATAACCCTAGACACCCAAACTTATTTTAAATGATAGAGACTTAAGATTGAGAGAAAATCTGAGTCATCATCCAGGTCAGTATTTTTCACTTAGTGGGAAATGTACTGGTCACCTTGGGTTTGAACAGTTTAGCAACATTGCAGGATCTTCTACAGATGCACACATAAGCATTTGAACAAATTCTCTCGGTAGGCAAAGATCATTGCAGCCGAATGTCTAATGATCTTTATCGCAGAGTTATCTATCCAATGTTCCAGGGTAAATGTTCTATTATTAACATTCCTGATGAAATACATTCATGGATATATATGTTTAGTATATTATTTAACTACTATTTCAAATCTATATCAAGACTGGTCTTAACATTTCTAAAATAGGTAACTATATCAACATCATAAAAAATGCTGCCACTTTTTTTTTGAGAAAGACTCTCTATACATAGTGTTAAATCTTTCTGCATTAGAACTAAAGACCGTGAAAAGAAGAACAGTTTTTATTGTGTTAAGACACTGATTGCTGGTTAGGAAAAAATGTGTGTGTGTGTGTGTGTGTTTGTGTGTGTGTGTCAGAGAGACAGAGAGAGAGAAAAGCAGGGGAAGCTTGTAATGTATAATCAAATAGTAAGGTTATGAGAGATTTATCCCAGATTATCTATAATTTTCATTGGTCCCTGAATGGTGGAGGAAAGGTAAAAATATCTTTAATTCCAGATTTCATCTTTGGCCACCAACAAAGGGGCATCACTTAATCCTATTGGTTTTAAATACCAATGAACTAGTGTAAAAGATGAGGATTTGTAAATTATTTCACTCAGAACAAAGCTTTCAAATGTCTGAAACTAGCCAGAATCTTGTCAACAATTTCCAAAATCAGATTCTGAAATTTAATGTTGTTTGCAAAACTCCTTCACCAAGATTCCCAAGAAAGGAAAATGATAGGAGTGAAGTTCGGGAGAGAGGACATAATAAAAACATAAAATTGAAGAATTTGTTCTTGATCATTGTGGAAATAGGAGAATACCATATTTTATATTTATTAATTATACTTGTCTCTAACGACAGAAAGAAATGTAAAGAAATACTATGAACACCCCAAAATTAGACAGCCTAGGTGAAATGGACTGTACACCTCAAAATTAGATAACCTAGATGAAATGGACAAATTTTTAACCACGCATAAATTATCTAATGTGATTCAAGAAGAAGAAGAAATTCTTAACAGACCTATAACAAGTACAGAGAATAGACCGGTAATCAAAACTCCTCCTCAACAACAACAAAAGCTCAGTATCAGATGTTTCACTGGTGAATTCTGTCAAACATGTAAAAAAGAATAAATACCAATTCATCTTAAATTCTTCCAAAAAATAGAAGAAGGAGCATTTCTCAAGTCATTACATGAGACAAGCATTATCCTTATACCAAAGTCAGATGGAGAAATCCAAAGAACAGAAAGTTACAGACCAATATTCCCTATGAATACAAGTAGAAAAAAAGTAATTAATAAAGCATTCCAATGTATAACATTATCTCAAAGAATAAAATACCTAGGAACAAATTTGAACAAGGAAGTGAAAGACTTGTACACTGAAAACTACAAAACATTGCTAAAAAAGTTAAAGAAGACCTGCATAAATGAAAATATTGAGAGACTTAGTATTGTTATATTTCCAATTCTACCCAAAGTGATCTACAAGTTCAAAGCAATTCTTATCAAAATTCCAACAGCCCCTTTGCAGAAATGAAAAAGCCAGTCCTCAAACTCATGTGGAGTTGCAAAGGGATCTGAATACTCCAAACAGTGCTGAAAAAGAAAATAACAAAATGAAAGGACTCACACTTCCCAATTACTGCAAAGCTAGATGGTCAGATCAGTATGGCCCTGGCAAACAGATAAACATACAAGCCAATAGAATTAAATAGAGAGTCCAGAAATAAACCCATACATCTATGGAACACTGATTTTTAATAAGAGCACCAAGTGTATTCTATGGGGAAAAGAATAGTCTTATCAACAATGGTGTGGGACAACTGTATTTCTACATTTAAAAGAATAAAATTGGGTCTGCGTTTTATGCCATATAACAAATTACTTCAACATGATTCATTGACCCAATATAAGAGTTAAACTTATAGCATGCTTAGAAGAAAACATGAGTAAATCTACATGATTTTTAAATTTGACCTTTAATCTATTTTTGTGTAAAACTAAAATAATGAGCAACAAAAGAAACGTTAGACAAATTGAAATTCATCAAAATTTAAATATATTGTTTATCAAAGGACATTATAAAGTGAAATAACGTATAGAAGTGGATAAAATATTTGCAAATTATATATCTAATAGGGGTTTAATAATCAGAATCTAAAAGGAAGACCTACAACTCAACAACAGAAATGCACACAACCATCCGGGCGCGGTGGCTCAAGCCTGGAATCCCAGCACTTTGAGAGGCCGAGGCGAGTGAATCATTTGAGGTCAGGAGATTGAGACGAGCCTGGCAAACGTGGTGAAACTCCGTCTCTACTAAAAGTACAAAAATTTGTCGGGCGAAGTGGTGGGTGTCAGTAATCCCAGCTACTTGGGAGGCTGAGGCAGGAGAATCGCTTAAACCTGGAAGGCGGAGGTTACAGTGAGCCAAGATCGCACTATTGCACTCCAGCCTGGGCGACAAGAGCGAAACTCCGTCTGAATAGGTGTTTCTCAAATAAGTTATACAAATGACCAATAAGCACACAAAAAAGACGTCCAACATTTTTAGCCATTAGGGAAATTCAAATAAAAGCCACAATGAGTTGTTACTTCATATCTACCAGGATAATTATATAATTTTTTTAAAAAAGAAAAATAATAAATCTTGGTGAGAATGTGGAGATATTGTAACCCTCAGACATTGATGATGGGAATGTAAAATAGTACAGATGCTGTAGAAAAGTTTGGCAGTTTTCCAAGATGTTAATAATAGAACTCCCATATGACCCAGCAACTTCTCTCTTAGGTATATGACCAAAAGAATGGAAAACAAAGTCTCATGCAGGTACTTGTATACCAATATTTATTATTCATAATTGTCAAACGGTGAAAGCTACCCAAGTAACTATCCACAGATGAATGGATAAACAAAATATTCTATATAACTGCAATAAAATATTATTCAGCAATAGAAAGAAATGAAGTTCTGATGCATGCTAAAACTTGGATTAACCTTGAAAACATTATGCTGAGTGAAATGAGCCAGACACAAAAGTATTAATATTGTATGATTCCACCTATATAAAATATATATTATAGGGACATAAAATAGAGGAGAGGCTACCATAGGCTGGGGTGAAGGCAAATGAAGGGAAACGTTGAAAAATAAAAGAAAAAATTGAAAGAACTCACACTACCCAATTGCTACAAAGCCAGGTAATCAAATCAGTATGATCCTGGCACATGGATAAACATACAGGCCAATGGAATAAAATTGAGAGTTCAGAAATAAACCTATACATCTATGGAAAATCGATTTTTAACAAGGGCACTCACCTTGCTTAATGAGTTTCTATCTGAGTTTGGAATTTCTCCCCGGGATGATAAAAAGTTTTGCAAATAATGATGATGGTTGCATAGCATTGCAAATGTAACCGACACCACTAAACGATATATGTAAAATAATTAAGATATCAAATTTTATTTTATGTGCATTATACCCCAAGGAAAAAAAATAAAAAGGAAATAAAACAGAATGTATGAAATATTGATTTTAATTGATCAATATGCCATTCCAAGTAGTTTTGATTTTATCCCATTGAATTTATCCTGGTTATTTTTAATTATATCATCATAATTACATTTAATAAAAATATTACAAAAATTAAAAATTTAGAGATTGGCAGAATGGATAAAAGTATGGTTAACTATATGCTCTCTAAAAGAGATACTTTATATTCAAAGACACAATACGTTGAAATTAAAGTGAAGGAAGGGGATATACCATGAGTGGCCAAAATAGAGCTAGATATACTAATACAGACACATATATTTTAAGACAAAATTTGTTACTGAAGTCAAAGACATTATAAAATGATGAGTGATTCAACTCATCAGGAAGTTATAACAATTATAAATGTATATATGCCTAGCTACAGAAATCAGAAACAAAATAAACAATCTAACAATGCACCTTAAGGAACTAGAAAAGCAAGAATAAACAAAACCCAAAGTGAGTAAATGAAAACAAATGATAAAAATCTTAGCAGAAATGAATAAAAATTAGACTAAAAATAATACAGAAGATCAATTAAAAAAAAGTTGTTTTTTGAAAAGACAAACAAATTCAACAAACCTTTAGCCAGAATAAGAAAGAGAGAAGACCTAAATAAAATCAGAAACCAAAAAAGGAGTCATAAAAACTGAGACCACAGAAATACAAATAATCATTACAGACTATTACAAACATCTATAAATTAATAAATTGAAAACTTAGAAGAAATGAATAAATTCCTGAACCCATGCAACCTACAAGTTTGAACCATGAAGAAATAGAAAACCTCAACAAACCAATAGTGAATAATATTATCAGTACCTTTATTAGATTGAAGTCATAATAAAAATTTTCCCATCAAAGGAAGACCTTATGGCTTTATTGTTGAATTCTACCAAATATTTAAAAAAGAGATTATACCAATTCTTCTCAAACTCTTTTAAAAAGTTAAAGTAGAATGAGTACTTCCCAACTCCTTCTACCAGGCCAACATAATTTTGATACCCAAACCAGACAAGGACACACAAAAAGAGAATACTACAGAGCAGTATCACTGATAAACATAGAAGCAAAAATCTTCAACGAAATAATAGCAAACCAATTTCAACAACACATTAAAAAGATCTTACACCATAATCAACTGGGATTCATTCCAGGGATGCAAGGATGGCTCAACATATATAAATCAATAATTACATTAGTAAGCAAGAGCAAAAAACATATGATCCTTTAAATAAATGCTAAAAAAAAACCACTCAATGAAATTCCACATCTCTTTAAGATAAAATCCCTCCACAAACTGGGTATAGAATGAGCATACTTAAGAATAATAAGAGCCATATATGGCAAACGACAACTAGCGTCTTACTCAATGGAGAAAAATGGAAAGCCTTTCCTCTGGGATCTGGAGCAAGACTAGGATGCCTACTTTCACCAGTTTTATACAACATAGTACTGAAAGTCTTAGCAAGAGCAATTAAGCAAGAGAATTAAAGAATATTCCAAATTGGAAAGGAAGAAGCTGAATTATCCTTGTTTGCAGATAACATAATGTTATACTTGAAAAGGACCCTGAAGATGCCATGAAAAAACTCTTAGAATAGATAAACGAATGCAGTAAAGTTGCAAGATGGAAAATAAACATATAAAAATCAGTAGCATTTATATATGCCAACAGGGAACGATCTGAAACAGAAATTTAAAAATTACCATTTACAACAGCTACAGAGAATATGAAACACCTAGGAATCAATTTAACCAAAGAAGTAAAAGATGTATACAAGAAAAACTGTAAAACATTGATGAAAGAAATTGAAGAGGACAGAAAAAAGGAAAACTATTCCATACTCATTAGTTAGAAAAATTAATTTGATTCATATGACAATATTACCCAAAACAATTTATAAATCCATTTCACTCCCTATCAAAATATTCATGTTTCTCACATAAATAGAAAGCAAATCCTGAAATTGATATAGAACCACAAAAAACCCAGTAGCCAAAGCAATCCTGAGCAAAATGAACAAAGCTTGGAGACATCACACTATATGACTTCAAAATTTACTACAGCGCTATAGTAACCAAATCAACATGGTCCTGGCATAAAAACAGAAACATTGGCTAGGTGCGGTGCCTCACGCATGTAATCCCAGCACTTTGGGAGGGTGGATGACGAGGTCAGGAGTTTGAGACCTGGCCAACATGGTGAAACCCTGTCTCTACTAAAGATAAAAAAAATTAGTGTGGTGGCGCACACCTGTAATCCCAGCTACTAGGGAGTCTGAGGCAGGAGAATCTCTTGAGCCTGGGAGGTGGAGGTTGCAGTGAGCTGAGATCACACCATTGCACTCCAACCTGGGCGACAGGGCGAGACTCCATCTCAAAAACAAACAAACAAACAAACAAAACCAGAAACATAGACTAATGAAATAGTCTATAGAGAACCCAGATGTAAATCACGCATTACAACATTTATGCAAATGAGCCAATTCATTTTTGACAAGGATGCTAGAAATACACAATGGGAAAAGGACAGTCTCTATAATAAATGGTGCTAGGAAACCAGATAACCATATGCAGAAGAATGAAACTAACCCCTTATTTCTTACCATATACAAAAATCAAATCAAAATGACTTAAAGACTTAAATCTAAGATATAAAACTATGACACTAGAAGTATACTTTTGGGAAACACTCCAGGACATTGGTCTGGGCAAAGATTATTTTTAAGACCTCAAAATCACAGGCAAAAGCAAAAGCAGATAAATGGGATTACATTAAGCTAAAAAGCTTCTGTCTAGCAAACAAGACCATCAACAAACTGAAGATGCAGGCCATGGAGTTGAATAATGTATTTGCAAACTGTCAATCTGACAAGGAACTAGTAACCAGAGTATATGAGATGCTTAAACAGTCCAATAGAAAAGAAATCTGATTAAGAACTGGGCAAAAGATTAAATAGACATTTCTCACCAGGAAACATGCAAATGGCAAATAGGTGTATGAAAAATGTTTAACATGACTGATCTTCAGAAAAATGCAGATCAAAACAATGAGATATTCTCTAACCCTAGTTAGAGAATTTCTTTTTTTCAAAAAGAGAAAATAAGAGATACTGCTGAGGATGTAGATAAAGAAGGATGCTCGTTTACTGTTCGTGGGACTATAAATTAGTACAGCCACTTACAGTTCTTACCAAACTTCCACCTTTTTTGTTTGTTTTTTGAATAAACACTTTGTGGATTCCTCAAAGCATTTGGCTAATTTTTCAAGTTCTAAAAATGTTGACCCTGATTATTTTTGCCAGTTTTTAAAATTGCCTTTATGGAGGAAGTAATTTGCTGATGCCCTCACTCCGTCATTTTCATTGATACCATTCCTTTATCTTTTGCATTAGAGTAGAATTTAATATCACCTGAAATGAAAATATTTTCATCAGCACTTGATAATAAGTGCCAATTATGAGACAAAAATAAGTTTTCTTTTACATTATTTAAATCCAAGTTAGGGTCAAGAACCAGCAATTTCACTGCTGACTATGTATCTAAAATAAAGGAAATCAACACATCAGAGAAGTATCTGTGCTCTCATGTCTATTGCAGTACTATTTGCAATAGTCAAGATATGGAATCAATCTAATCACCCATAAAAAGATGAAAGAATGAAGACAAGAATGAAGACAATAAAATATTATTCAATCTTAAAAAAGAATAAAATCCTGCCATTTGCAGCAACATGGACAGAAATGGAGGTCATTATGTTAAGTGAAATCAGCCAGACACAGAGAGACAAATGTCATATGTTCGCACTCATAAATGGGAGCCAAAAAAGTGGATCTCATGAAGATAGAGAGTAGATTGGTGGTTTACCAGAGGCCAGGAAAGATAGAGGGTGAGGAGTAACAAAGAGAGGTTGATTAGTGGGTACAAATACTTAGTTTGGTAGAAGAAATAAGATCTACTCTTTGAGAGATAAGGAGAGTGACTATCGTTTACTCTAAATGTACTTCTATTGTGTATCAAAAAAAATCAAAAAATAAAAAATAAGTTAAAAAACATAAAGCAAAAATACACAGAAATGATAGAGAAATAAACAATTTGACAATAGTTGGAAGTTTCAGTACCTCACTCTCAGTTGTAGATGGAACAACAAAGCAGAAGATTACAAGGATCAATCTTAAAAATAAACTAGAACTAAAAGACACCCATGGAACAACCATACCTGGAACATTCTTAGACTGTCCATTGGCTTACAAAACAAGGCACAATAAATGTAAATGACTGAGATCATACAATGTATGTTCTTTGGCCCAAATGGGATGAAATTTGAAATCAATTACAGAAGAAAATTTGGAAAAATCCCAAATATGTGAAAATTAATAAACTCCCTAAATAACAAATGAATTGAGGAATAAGTTAAAGAAAAATGAGAAAATATTGTGAGATTAAAAAAATAGAAACAAAGCATACCAAAACTTAGAGGATAAAGTTAAAATAGTACTCAGAGGAAAAAGTATAGCTGCCAATGTCCATATTTTTAAAAATCCAAATCAATAATAGACTATCTTCAGAAACTAGAAAAAGAAGAGCAAATTCTAGTCAAAAAAGCAGAAGGAAGGAGATAATAAAAATTAGAGTAGAAATAAATAAAATAAAGATTAGAAAAGTTATAGAGAAAACCAGTGAAATAAAAGATGTGTAATTCTTTAAGAAGGTCAACAAATAGTGACAAAGCTTTAGATAGATGAAATAGGAAAACAAAGAACAAAGACTCAAATTACTAAAATCAGAATGAAAAGGAATAGCAGCACTAACGAATTTTCAGTTACCTAAAAATGGTGTATGTCCACAAATTATATAACCTAGATGAAATTGACTCCTCAAAGACATAATCTAATTTAAATGACTCAAGAATAAATACAAAATCTAAATAAACCAATAACAATTAAAGAAATTGTATTTGTAATAAAATTATTTTCACAAAGGGTAGTCCAAGCCCAGATGGCTTCATTGGTGAATTCTACCAAATGTTTATGAAATGGTAATATCAATCCTTCACAAACTATTCAAAAATAAAATTAAATTAAAAGGTAGAGCAAGCACTTCCCAACTTATTCTGTGAGGCCAAAATTACCTTAATACCAAAACCAAACAAAGCCATCATAGGAAAATAAACTACACACTAAAATACCTTATGAATATAAATGCAAGATTTCTAAACAAAATATTAGCAAACTACATCCAGCAATATATAGAAAAGAACTGATTATTTTCCATGACCAAGGATTTGTCCTGGGAATACAAGCTTGTTTTAACATTCAAAAATAAGTCAGGGTAAAATACCATCTCAATACAATAAAGGACAAAAAAATACATGATAGATACAGAAAAAGCATTTGACAAAATCACACACTATTTAAAACAAAAAAGTAAAAAAAAAAAAAAAGACCCAGGAAGCTGGTTATAGAAGGAAACTAGCTCAACCAAATAAAGGTTATTTACAAAAGCCCCAAGCCTTATTTACAAAAGCCCCAAGCCAACATTATACTTAATAGTGAAGACTGAATGATTTACCTCTAAGTTCAGGACAGATGGATATTCTCACAGTGACTGTGCAACATTGTACTGAAGGATCTGGCCCGGACAATTTGGCAAGAAAAAGAAATAAAAGTCATCCAGATTGGAAAAGAAGAAATACAACTATCTCTATTAGCAGATGACATAATCTTGGACATGGAAAATTCTAATGAATCTGCATAAAAACCTCTTAAATCTAAGAAATGAATTCAGTAAGACTGCCAGATATGAGATGACTACCCCCAAAGCAGCTGTATTTCTATACACTTTCAATGAAAAATTCAAAAATTAAGAAAGCAACTCCATTTAAAATAACATCTAAAATTTAAAATCACTTAGGAATAAATTTAACAAAAGAATCAAAGTCATGTACACTGAAAACTAAAAACTGTTGTTGAAAGAAACTAAATGAAAGGTAAGCCACCTGATGGTTATGTGTAAGAAAATTAATATTATTAAAATGGTAAAATTTTCAAAATAATCTACAGATTCAGTACATTCTCTATCAAAATCCAAGTTTCCTTTTTCAAAATTGACAAGGTGATATTTAAATTCATAAGGAATGTAAGGGACCAAGAATGGCCAAAATCATCTTGAAAAAGATTGAAGTTGGAAGACCCTGACTTCCTGATTTGAAATTGACTGTAAAACTACATTAATCAAGGCATTGTAGGATTGGCACAAAGATAAATTTATATACATATATATATATATATATATATATATAGTTGCCCAGACAATGCACTGGAGAAAGAAGTCTTTTCAAAAGAAGACCCTTCTAAAATATGGGGATAATGTGGTCCTTCTTAGAGGTGCTTGATACCTCAACCATATCCCATGATGGTGAACAAAGTTTCCCTGGCCTTCTGTGGACAGAAACAAGCCATGAAGCAGGCCTAGAATGGTATCCAACAATCCTTCAGCATAGACAGTCTTCCTTTCTTTGTCACTTACATCCAGGTTACAGATATTTTTCTTGTGTTTCTGTAAACTATGAGAACATGTATCACACTGTCTAGATTCCTACCTATATACTTTATTTATATTGATGTATTTCTGAATTTACCACCCTCCTATGGGAATGTAATCTCTCGAAGGAAGGGACCAAGGGCATCTTGCTCAACATTTTGTACTATTCACCTAATATGCTTAGCATGTCACAGTTGATAGCAAAGTATTTGCTTATTGACTAATCAATGAATTTTAAAAATCCATACATCAACTCATATTTCTCTAAAAATTAATTATTAATCAGCCATTATAAGAAAAA